>NC_000022.11:35830776-35982291 GCF_000001405.40 Homo sapiens
CTACATGAAAAATGTTTTTAAAAAAATATGAAAATGTATATGAAAAGCAATAAGGTATAAAATACAGCATATGGAGGGAGAAAGGAAGTAAAGAAGGAGAAGAATCTTCATATTTTCTGGGGCTGGGGAAATAAGAGAGCAAATCAGGGGATTCATTCTATTATAAAAGGGATCCATCATGACCTGCTAGAACCACTCAAAACTGTCTCTCTGTCATGAAGCTATATGGGAAAACCTTACGTATGCTATAAAGGAAATTGCGAGGTCCTGTATCCCTCTGAGTCAGGGATCAGCAAACTATAGCTTGTGGTTCAAAGCCAGCCCTCCACCTACTTTTGCATAACCTGCAAGCTAAGCATGGTTTTACGTTTTTAAATAGTTAAGAGGCCAGGCACGGTGGCTTACGCCTGTAATCCCAGCACTTTGGGAGGCCGAGGTGGGCAGATCACAAGGTCAGGAGATCGAGACCATCCTGGCTAACATGGTGAAATCCTGTCTCTACTAAAATTACAAAAAATTAGCCAGGCATGGTGGCAGGCACCTGCCCTTGGGAGGCTGAGGCAGGAGAATGGCGTGAACCCAGGAGGCAGAGCTGGCAGTGATCCGAGATCGCACCACTGCACTCCAGCCTGGGTGATAGTGAGAGACTCTGTCTCAAAAAAAAAATAATAATAAATTAAAAATAAAGTTAAAAGAATCATATTTTGTGACACATACATATTACATGGAACTTAAATTTCAGTGTCCGTAAATAGTTTTACTGGAACACAGCTACAACCAACGATTCATTTACTTATCATCTATAGCTTCTTCAATGCTTCATCAGCACAGCCGGGTAGTTGTGACAGAAACAACATGGCTTGCAAAGCCAAAATTGTTTACTATCTGGCCCTTTACAGAAAAAGTTCGTGGATCTTTGCTCTCAGTTAAGAGTCTTTTCAAAACCCAATCTCCTTCACTTAAGTCCCAGTTTGTCTCTTCCAAACTTCTTATGAGGAATCATAATTAACATTAGGAAAAAAGAATACAGTTGTATCATTTGTGGACATAAAAGCATTCATTTATAATTTCATAAAATAATTATTGACTTCCATTACTCAGTGACAGTAACCTTTGAGGGATCAGGGCAAGACTCAGATACTAAAAGACAGGTAGATTCCTGCCAATCAGCTGAGGGCATGCTTTATAGTGGAGAGAAAAACAATATTCTATTTATTCTTTTTAGGAGTTCAAGGTAATATCCCTTCATTTTTGAAATTATAAATTGCCAACAACACTACATGTTCAATGAGCTATACAAACTGACTAAAGCCAGTTGTATGCGATGGCTCACGCCAGTAATCCCAGCACTTTGGGAGGTCGAGGCAGGTGTATCACCTGAGGTCAGGAGTTCAAGACCAGTCTGGCCAACATGGTGAAACCCTGTCTCTACCAAAAAGTACAAAAATTAACTGGGCATGGTGACGCACACCTGTAGTCCCAGCTACTTGGGAGGCTGAGGCAGGATAATCACTTGAACCCAGGAGGCGGAGGTTGCAGTGAGCCGAGATCACACCACTACATTCCAACCTGGGCGAAAGAGTGAGACCCTGTCTCAAAAACAACAAAAAAGAAACTGACTAAAGCCAAACATGTTATCATAAAACAAAACTTATAACAAAGATATGATACTTAATACTCATAACTGTAGAATGTTTAGCAAATGCTGGGAAGGAGGCAGGGGATGGAGAGAGGTTGGTTACTGGGTACAAAAACACAGAAGAAATAAGTTCTTGGCCAGGTGCAGTGGCTCGCACCTGTAATCCAAGCACTCTGGGATGCAGAGGCAGGCAGATCACTTGAGGTCAGAATTTCGAGAGCAGCCTGGCCAACATGGTGAAACCCTGTCTCTACTAAAATTACAAAATTAGCCAGGTGTGGTGGCATGCACCCGTAGTCCTACCTACTTGGGAGGCTGAGGCAGGAGAATCACTTGAACCCAGGAGGCGCAGATTGCAGTGAGCCAAGATCTGAGCCAAGACTGCACCACTGTACTCCAGCCTGGGCAACATAGTGAGATTCAGTCTCCAAAACAAAGAAGAAGAAGAAGTTCTAATATTCAACAGCACAGTGACTATAGTTAACAATAATTTATTGTGTATTTCAAAATAGCTAGAAGGGGAGATTTGAAATGTTCTCTATACAAAGAAATGATAAATATTTGAGGTCATGGGTATCCTAATTACTGATTTGATCATTACACATTATACGCATGTATCAAAATATCATATGTACCCCATAAATATGTATAATTATGCATCAATAAAACTTAAAAAGTAATCATAATTGATATTTTTACTTAGTGATTAGACATAAATGACAAATCATTCATATAAATTAATGCAACTAGTCCAGGACAGTCAGTAAACATTCTGGAAACCGTATGTTTTCATATCTATGAGGAGTAATTCAAGGAAGTAGGAAAAATAAGCAAGGCAACAGAAGATTAAAGGGAACGTTCAGCAGTATCTTCAAATATTTGGTTTTTATGTAGAAGACATGAAACCACTCAATGCAACTCCAGATGAGAAAATGAGAAGGAGTGAGAAGACAATCATGAAAACAGATTTCAGCTCATAAAGAAAACTTTTCTACTTATCATGGCCAACAATGGAACTATTTATCTTATGAGGTTCACAGAATAATGGAAGAGCATGCGAATTTGGGACTAAATAGATCTCCAGTTTGAAACCTATCTCTCTCTGTTTCCAGGCTGCCTGATCTTTAGAATCTCAAAGTCTCCTGCAAAAAATGGGAAAAACCTCACCTATCTCAAAGATGATTGACAAGTGATACATAATATGAATAATTATGTTTGTAAATGTGCTATGTATGTAAAATTGACTGGCACAAAGTAGGTATAAAAAAACAAAAACATTTTTATAATGGTCATTATTAGTGGTGGTTAAGAACAGAAATGCTGGAGCCAAACTCCTTGGGTTTCCTAATTTCTACAACATGGACATTAATAGTACTGCTGAGTAAGTATATAAGGCTGCTGAGTGGAATAAATGCTCTAAAATATGTAAAGCACTTAAGACAATGCTTAATGCACAGTATGTGCTCTGCATTATTATTTAGTATTATTAGATAATATTAATATTTTTATCATAGAATAATGTATACTTTATTACATATTATAAGAATGAAGTAATCTTATTCAACAATGAATTCCATTACTGCAAGTGTTTTATCAAAGTCTTAAGTCAGGGATGGAAATTTCAGAAATGAATCAGAGTCTCAACTAAATTAATTTATTCACACATTCAACAAATATTTACTGAATACCCAATACCTACAAGGGGCATTAGAGTACAGTGGTTAAGAATATCAATTTCTAAGCCAGTCTGTCTGGATATCATTCCCCACAACATCTCTTAGTAGCTGTCTGAACTTGGGCAAGTTACTTAACCGTCATATGCCTAGTTTCCTCTTTTGTACAATGGAGATAACACAGAGCTGCTGAGAGGATTCAATGAGTTAATGAGGGTAAAGTGCTTAGAACGGTATCTGATATTAATGCATCATAAGCATATATAAAGATTAGCTATTTTTATTATGACTATGTGCCAGGCACTGTTCTACACACTGGGAATACAACAGACTGCTGACGAGGATCCTGATCTCAGGGAGCTTCTGTTTGGGGTCGGGGAGGAGACAGACAACAAACAAACATATAACAATCAACGGTAAGAACTAAAATCAGTGACAAGTGAAGACAAAGCAGAATGAAGGTAGGAGTGATGAGGGAGTGCTGGTTTAGCTAGGAAAGTTAAGGGAGAGGTCGCCCTTGAGAAGAAATATTCAAGAGTAGAACAAACCATATGGGTACCAGTGGGAAGACATTTTGGGCAGGGAGAAAAGCAGAAGGGTCCTGAGCAGGAGGGTCTTAGGCATGTTAAGAGAACAGCAAAGAGGCCAGTGTCATTAGAATGAAATACAGAAAGAAAAGGATGGCAGGAGATGAGACTAGAGAGACAGCCAGGTTCCTGATCATGCAGGGTCACAGGATTTTATTCAGAGACTGAAGGGGAGCAACTGTAAGGTATAAGCACAGGAATGACAAAATCAGACTTGCATTTTAAATGATTCACTCTGGCAATGACCTCTAATGAATTAGTTTCCTGAATTTAATCATTCTAATAGTAATAGAGAAACATTTAAGAGTCTGGGGAATAGACACAATACATTGTGATGGCAGAATGCAGCATTTCTCACTGCCTAGAAGAGGTTGAACACTGGAGCCCACTAAGAAAGGTGCTACAATCAAAAGAGCAAAGTATTTACTGCAGGGGAGCCTTGTATTTGTGCCTGGCAAATTTCACATACAAAATGTTGGGAGGAAATGTTCAAAAAAGATTTGACAGTGGTTTGGAAATGTTGAAAAAAAAGAGTGAGGAATTATGACTTCGGAAGGGAACATGTGGGATACCAATAATGTCAGATCCCGGAGAGGAATGGTATACCAGAAGGAGACCAGGGTGGGTAAGGGGGGGCTGTATCACCTAGTATGACTGGTTCCCAGAAACTATCTGTCTACCATAAACAGATGTCCAAGAAACAACCCCTAGGTAAGGAATTACATGATGAAAAGTTCAAATTTGAGAGAGATAAAATTGTTTACATATGGCAATCTGTGTAGATCAGAGTTTGGAATTTCTCAGGGGAGAACAGAAAACTGGAGGAACAAAACCAGGAATTTGAGCTTATGCCTTATCACTGAGAGGAATGAGGAATGTCATTACTGTTCAATATGAAGATGTCTCCTGTAGCAATACAAATTTAAGTAATAGGTTGTCAAATATTAAGCTTACCTAGACTCAATTGCAAAGCTAAGGAGAAAGATAAAGGAAAAAATAGAGAAGGGGGCCAAAAAAGAAAGAGAAAAGTGTGTGTGATTAGGGGGTGACTAAGACGGAAAAAACAATTTAATGAGTCAAGATTGCTCGGATTTCATCATAGCTTCATTTATGAAATTCTGTTTATCTTTTCAAGAAAGCTAAGTAATTTTTAGAAAAGCAATACTTTTCAAGAGACAATCTTGGCCTCAGCGAAGAAATGATTATAACTGAAGATATGGAGCAATGTAGAAGAATTCAGAAAGAAACCAAATCTCTGGAAAAAGTGAGGCTTTTTTTTTTCATTGTAAAGGAACATAAATTCAGTCTCCAACCCACAATCCCCGCCTATCCTCCAACTCCCCAAATCCTGCAAAGCCCATAGAAAGTGGAAAGTGTGCCAAAACAAACAGTGTGGCTGCAGCTCCGTGGATGAAGGGTGGGATAAGGTTCGAGTGGCAAGGGAGCATGACTGGCAGGCAACCGAATGGAATCACTTTAAAGCAGTGCCACAAAATGGAGACTAAATGCTGAGAGGACCTCCAGAATTCAAAGAAAATGGGATATGCTTAGCAAAATCACAGAATAGATTCTCTACTCCAACTCCTTTCAAAAACCAGACAAACAAAAACAGGAAAAGAGAAAATGAAACAAAGCAAAACATACCTGCTCTCTTATCTGTCTTTAATTAAAGCATAAAATACCCTCCCTCTTCTCTTCTCCCAACCACCCAGGAACAGAAGAGCGAACTGGCAGCAGCTCAGGTGAAAGACTTCAGCCTTCCAGCTACAAAGAGGGGAGATAGCAGACAATGGAACTGGTGATTCATTACAAAAGAATACACTCCAGAGCGGCCTGCTGCCACATGGACTCACTGCACTATTTAAAGGAACAGCAACCCCCTTTCCAACCTCCCTTATTCCTAACACCTTCCCTCCTCTTGGTCCTGATGGAAAACAGATTTTGAAGAAAATGCCAGCAAAGCACTGAGCTGTCCAAGAAAGGGAGGGCTTTGTGTTCCACAGAAACTGGCAGTCTTATACCATAGTAGAGTACAAAAATTTTCTTTCACATCCATACTGTAAAATCTTTTCCTCTCTGCCTAGTACACTTTCCCTTTCAACAATAGATAGTATAACTGAATTTGAGTTTGGCTAAACATTTATTTTTTACTAATTAGTGTTGAAGTCATTTGCAATTTTGTTTTTCGAATTTTACACATAGTACAAGAATGATTTATCTTTCCTTCATATTCCATATTGCTATTTTCATAAATATGAGATGCAATAATCTGGTCTATATGCCCAAAAAATAAGAGATCTCAGTGAAATACTCCTACAACATACACATGAACAGCCGATAAAATTAACGTTTTAAGTATCACATAAGCATGTCTATCGGCTATATTAGAATTTTGTGATTAAATTGCCATTTGCTTTTTAGCAGAGCACTGATTACTTACTATAAATGACAGAGTAGTTTGATAATTAAAACAAAAACAGGCCCTATAAAAGTAGAGCATATGTAATAATAAAGCGCATACACTGTGCAAATACTGACAAGGATCTAATATGGTATGATGAAAAAGTCATTCACTGAAAGCCCTTTTCCAACAGCTGAGCAATGGAAACTGGGGACTACAGAGATGGTATCATCTGAAGATGCAAAGAACCTAAGTAGCAAAACAGTGAAAACACATCCATACATCGCTCTTACATTGTAATAAACCGTTTAACTTTGAAAACCCAGGCCTAACCACCAGTATAGACATTCTATATTGAGAAAGCTTATGTGACAGGTCATTATCAAATGTTGGGATTGGATGTCTGGCTCAAACACACACACACACACATGTGCACACACACACACACACGCAGGCACAACACAACACAACCACAGGACAAATGAAAGACTTGGCCCAGCTGGTTATTTCCTTTGATTGTTTTCCCCCTAGATTACTAACAACTATGTACATTACATTAACACAGAAAGTATATACAACAAAACAAATACGCTGGAATACTGAAAATTCACAAATTTGATATTCTATCCTTGCCAGTTGTATAATTTCAGGATGGGCAAAAACTCATAACTTTTCTTCAATATTTAGCACATCCTGATAAAACAGGTGATTTTATTATTAGAATTATTAAGCACCCCAGAATCTCTCTTTCCAGTTTCCATTTATTTCTTCTACTTCATTCCTAAACTTATGGCTTCTTTAAATACTAATTATTACGACCACAATATTAAGTGTGCATAAGCATGTGCACTCTAACTTAATGGTCACACACACTACACTTACCAGCTCCTCTAGAAACTAAGGGGAAATGTTCCAAGAGGCAATAGAAAACTCATCATAAAAATTTCCATTTTAGATCATTCTTTCACTAGTTTAAAAAATAAATAATGAAAAGTCAAGTCATTGAAAAGCCTTCAGTAATTGCTAAGCAAGAAGAGAGCTGTTACCCTCTAATATTGCCAGTTAATAAAAATTGAATGAGGGCTCTAAGGTTAAGCAAGTATCATCTCCCAAGCAAAAAGAGAATCCAGAAACAGGATTTATCTTTTATGTAAATTTTTTTTAAAAAATAAAGCAGTATTTCTTTTCTTTTTTTTTTTTTAATTCTTCAGCTAAAACAGCGGAAGAGGTGATTTATTATATGGTTGTTACACTCGGCCACAAATAAACACAGAAATAGTCCAGAATGTCACAGGTCCAGGGCAGAGGACCAACATGGGCATTTTGTTTATGAGCAAGGTGGGTCTCAGAGGTGATCGGCGATCAGAGGGCGATGAAGTTCTAGATCCATTGAGACAAGTTCTAGACAGTAGCATGCAGTCCCACAACTTGTACCAGCATCCCCAGCGTCTGGCATTCCATGTTTCTGCTCCTGTGGCCTCCACGGTGCAACAAGCTAGCGGTTTACTTGGACCTCTGCCTCATCTTTCTTCTTTTGCGCTTCAGCCTGCGCATTCGCTTCTTCCTCCACTTGGCTCTCATGGCACAGAGGTTTCCAAAAAAATGGCGCTAAGGCCGAGAGCATAAAGCAGTATTTCAAAAGAGGTAATTAGACTGATGATGAGGGGATAACACATGGAAGAGAAACATTTCAAAAGCTTCTCCGCTTTTCCAAAAGAGGAAGGAGTTTGTTGAAATTTTCTAAACTCAGATTTGGTGAAAAATTACTTTGAAAAGATATATTTGAAACTTCTTTCCTCTGGGTCCCAATGGGAAAATATCCCTACAGGTTTCCCTCCTTCCAAACAGCACTGCAGGGCATTATATAACTAAACAGGATTCCAGCTCCTAAAATGATGCCTCCATCCTGATAACTAGCTGGCTCTCTCGCCCTCCGGTGGTTACTGGGAGAGGAAGAGAAGAGAGAACACAAAAAAAGGGCAACCTCCTTAAAAGGAAAGCACTGTCCAGTGATGAAATTTCCACAGAGCATAGAAACCTGGAGTGAAACTGATCTTAAGTCTGAGACTAAAGGATTTGAATGTCCTACAGTGTAAATGATTTCTCATTGATAAATCAGAGCCTCATCATTTCCTCTTAACCTATACATAAAGGAAAAAGGGTAATGGAGCGTACAGAAGGATGCTAACAAGAAAAATTGCCTTGCCAGGGAGAACTGTGGAAGAGCATTCACCTTTCCATTTGTCAGGAATGACTTGCTAAAATGCAGATTAGATATTGCCTGGCATAACCAAAAAGAGGCAGGGAGAAAGAGGGGAAAAGGATGAGGAGAGAAAGGGGGATTGAGGGGGTTGGGGGAGAGAGTGAGTGGGAGTGGGAGAGAGAGAAGAGAAGAGAGAAAAACGAGAGGGGAGACAGAGGGAGGAGAGGTATCTTCCATTTCCTACTCTCTCTCCTTCAAATGTATTTTAAAGCCTGTGTGATTGTGATTTATACATTCAGATTCGTTCTCCTGTCAAGGAGGGCTCTACCTGCCTCTGTCACACCTGAATGCTCCTACTGAAAATTTTCTTTGCCAGTAACAAAGGCATGAAAATGAAACATTCTTTTCTAACCTTCATTTTTAATAAGCAGTTTAGAGTAACAGCAAAACTACAATTCCATAGCCAATCCTGAGAAACCAAAGTGAACAAGGAATCAGATTTCCCTATAACACAAATTCTTCTGAAATTCTTAAAAGGAATCCTGCTCCCCTCTTTTTGGCAGTCTACAAGAATCTCTTCCTACCTCTGCAGTCTTTCTCTCCCTCCCTCTTCTCAGAACCAAGACAAAGAGGTAGACAAATCCCCACAGGGTCTTTCCTGAGCTACAGCTGCACAGTACAGGAAACAGGAATCTGCTATGGAGTTGAGGGAGGGGGAAGAAAGGATACGGATACATAACACACACATAAACGGACTCAACAGACACAGACTTTTCAGCTGATAACAATAAATCTGGTCTGTTCTAAGAAGACAATAATGATTAAAACTCTTCTTACTATACTCCACCCTCAAACCTTTATTTAGATCCCAGAGAGGAGAAAAGAAACATGCCGAGGAAGCACAAATCTTACCTGAGTTACCATTTTCTTTTTCTCCATAAACCAAACGGATAGATGATAAACCTTTCAAAGCAGCCGTGCTGGGGCACACCTCCACAGCTTTCTTTTCCACCCCCCTCCCCCCCCAATCTAGCTATTTAAGGGTGGGTAATTGATCTCTCTTTATACCGTTTTCCTTCCTTTTTCTTTCTAATGTTTCTTCCTTTCTTTTCTCTTCCTCTCTGGCAGTCTCTCCCCCTCCTTCTTTCTCCAGCTCCCTCCCATATCTCAGGCAGATGGCTGAAGGAAGCCCCACCCCTGAATGCCTAAGGTAATTAATCAGAGTAGAGCCCCACCTCTTCCTCCTCCCCCCACCCCCTCCCAGCAGGCTGACATCTCCCAACTCCAGAAGCAGGCCTGCTGGAGAATGGCAGTTTGGTGTACGCTGTGCGCACGCGTGTGTGCGTGTGTGCGTGTGTGTGTGTGTGTGTGTGTGTGTAGGGGGGAGGAGGTAGGGAGGGGCAAGCGCCATGTGCTGGCATATTTTAAGGATGCGATGATGGAATTAATTATATAGCACTGGAAGCATTCATAGCAGCTTACTATAGTTCATACAGATTTAAGAGATTCCAGCCATGAATGTCAAATAAGAAATGAAACAAAATTATTTTTAATATTAATAAAACATTTTTACTGATGTACAGTTTATAGATGCAGTGGATTTAACAAGAAAGATGTGAAGAAGTGAAAAGCTATTACATGACCACTAACTGGAAGGTTTTTCAAGGAACAGGAATATGCAAGAACTTGCTTGTCCTGGAAGACCAAACCAGCCTAGTGAGAGCAAAGGACTAAAAGAGAGGACACAGGTAATGAGAGGTAATTTAAATGATTTTTTTCCTACTATAAAAAATACCTGGAGACTCTGAAAAAGGTGTCTACAAATATGACTGCTTAAGAAACTTAAGAGATACACAAAGGTGCATGCAAATTTGCTTAAGGCTTCCAGCTTCAATAAAATTTTGGTTAACTGAAAATTCACCTTTTGTTTTCTCCAGCCTTCTATGTTTCAGCCTTTATTGAAAAAGGTAAATCCTTTCTTATATATACCCTAGAAATTTGTGTCATTATTGTAAATAGTAATTGTTATAGAATGCTGTAGCTACAGGTTTAGGAGAATACTGACAATAAGAGTTTCTTTAAAGTTCTCTTATTAAAATAATATAATTAAAAAATGCATCAAAGATGTGGTTCAGTCCAGAAGTTGGTCTAATTCTGCCCTTTACTAGTGATCTTGGAAAAATCTTTAACCTCTGAATATAAACTTCATAATTTCCCTATTTTATATTATCACACATTCAAATAAAACAATTTATAAAATGATGAGTTTATCAGTTGTCTCATAAAATTAAGATTTTCTAATTTTTTACAGCATTCTAATAAATAGCTCATTCTGAAGGATTTATGAGATATTTTAGTTATGCTATGTATTTTTAGGATATACTTTCTAAAAGACTACCCAAAGGTTAAAAAGATTAATTCCAAAATTAAGCTTCCCATTTTTAATTTTTATCTATTTTTATTTTTTACAAGCCCACGGCTAACAACACGAGCTCTCCATTTAAAAAATAAACATCTACAGAAATCTAAATTCAAAATAACAAATCACACTGAGAATACATAGTTTTTTGCTGTCTCCATAAGGACTGTTTGGCAACATGCAGTACCAGGCTTTTAAAAATGTTCTGTATTGGCCAGGCGCAGTGTCTCATACCTGTAATCCCAGCACTTTGGGAGGTTAAGGCTGGTGGATTTCTTGGGCCCAGAAGCTCAAGACCAGCCAAGGCAACATGGCAAATCCCTATCTCTATTGTGAATTCAATTTTTAAAATTTTAAAATTAAAAAAATGTGTTGTATAACACCATTGGCTGGCACACTGCCAATACAACATCATTACACCCGCTCCTAAATTAATAATCATTTTAACAATTCTGAAAGGAACACAGGAAATACAGGACCATCTGTGGAACCTGGAGAAACTGATGTAACATAGTATATCAGGCTCTATTCTGTGCATTTTACAGATATCTGTATACTTGTGGCATAATCCATAGTAATAATTTTAAAAAGAATGAGATCTTCAAATATTAGGAAAAACGCTGAGTAAAGTAATATAGATAAGTACTAGGCCTGTTCTTATTTAACACTTTTTAGAAGTGACCTGGAACACAGAATATATAGTACTCTCTGAATTTGCAACTGAAAAGCCAATCAGAAGGAGATAAAAAGCAGTCAAATTTTCTAAAGACAAAGTGAGTAAGCAGAAAATGGGCAGGTGAGTTTCACTGGAAGCAAGAGCAACCCAGTGTATTTTTGGAAAAAATCTTGAATCATACTAATGGGATAACTGTGTTTTCAGTTCTAATAATTGAAATAAACCTCAGAATCACTGTGTATCATTCTCTGAATCCTCTGGTTTATTACACTATTCTTGACAAAAAGCCTGGGGCACTAAGAAGATAGCATCTCCCCCACAATGTCCCCCGCCCCCATCCTTAGAAAAGCAGCAGCTACCTTGACACTTAGGTGTGACTGCAGCCTCCATACATCATGGAAAGAGACAAGGCCCCAAGGAGTTTTTTTGTTTTGTTTTATTTTGTTTTTAAAGAAAAGGGCAAATGAGGGGTCCCCACATGCAAAAAGTCCAAGACTAGGATAAAGGTTTCCTCAGGCCAGGAATTCATGCTACTTTTCTACATTTAGAACCAATATTTTACAGTGCAAATAGGCTTAAAAATTTATTACAGGAAAGAATTGGTACAAGCTTAAAAAAAATGTTACAATGATTTTTATAAACTCACTGAATGACAGGCTCATAGTGAGGTCTGACTGGCACAATGATATTTTGAAGTGTGTCCCTGGTATTATAGAGGACAATTTGCTCCCTGGTGTCCAAGAGAGAGAAGAGCAATTGAGCAGCCTGGGTCTGACCCAGCAAAACTGGAGTCCCCTGGTGGCTGAATGTGCCCGGTAATGTACCAAGGAGAAAATCATTTTAGGACATTTCCTGTATGTGTGTTTGGGAGGAGAGAGACAGGCAGGGGCTGGGAAGCTTTGGAACAGGGTGGGCACGATGAGATGTCAGCTAATGAAGGAGGCCCTGCCTTCTCCATGGACAAATCCCCAGCTTTCAGGACAGTGTCTGGGACGTGGTAAGTACTCAAGAAATATTTATTAAATAAACAAATGAAGGAAAGAGGTACTTCTCCCTGTAGTCTCAACTCTTTGAGTGTTTCATCCAATCTCCAGAACCCCAGCTTCCTTTCCTCCATACTACTCAATTGAAATTTACCTTACTGAAGTCACTGAAGACCTCCAAATCATGGCCAAATTTAATGGACATTTTATGTCTTCTTTGATTTGTCTGTGGTATTTGGCATTCCCTCCTTTGGGAAACTCTCACTCTTAACTTAAAATGATACCAGTCTTTCTTAACTTTCCTCTTTCCCTGTTCACCCTCTTCTCCATCGTACTCTTCTTCCTCCTCTACCATCCTCTCAATTGTTGTTGTTACTTGCAAGGTGTCATCCTCAGATCTCTTTTTACTGCACACCAGAGGTTCTTAACCCAAAGTGCATGGTTCCTAACACAGGCACCCCAGTAGAAATTTTTCTTATATGCATTTCCACGCAGAGAGGATCTGTAGTATTTATCAGATTCTCAAAAGGGTCCAAACCTCAAAGAAGTTAACATTGCTGACCACACTTGCTCAAGGTGTTCCAACTCATTCTATCACTTCAGTTACCAAGAATTTACCCTGACGGCTCCCACATTTCTATTTTTGAGCACATACATCTCTTCTGAACACCATGTTTCTATTCTTTTTCCCTTGAATATGGCCGACTATATGGGTTATTCATCCTTCAAGGCTTACTTCAGAAATCCCCTACTCCAGAAAGCCTTTCCTGACCCTACTTGCTCCCACATCTGGTTTAGGTACCCTTATCTGTGAGCATACTTTACCTTAGCACCTAATCCATGGTACATAACGGTTGGAGTTACTGTTCTGCATAACTATGACTAGACTATGAGCAGTCTGAGGGTAGAAATCATGTTTTATACTATATCCCCAGTTCTTAACCCAGTATCTGAATACACAGTAAATGAATGTTTGTTGAAATCAAACAATAATGCCTTGATTTCTATTACTCTAGCCATTTATTTATTCACACATGGATACATCAGAATGAAGAGCACCTATGTAGTTATCAAAATATTATAAAAGCATTCTTTCTTCCAAGAGCGCACTTGGAGATATCTTCAAATTTATAAATTTACTTCACTTTTTTTTTTGAGGTGGAGTCTCGCTCTGTTGCCCAGGCTGGAGTGCAGTGGCACGATCTCAGCTCACTGCAACCTCCACCTCCCAGGTTCAAGCGATTCTCCTGTCTCAGCCTCCCAAGTAGCTGGGATTACAGGCACACACCACCATGCCCGGCAGTTTTTTTTTTTTTTTTTTGCATTTTTAGTAGAGATATGTTTCACCATGTTGGCCAGGCTGGTCTTGAACTCCTGACCTCAGGTGATCCAACCGTCTTGGCCTCCCAAAGTGCTGGGATTACAGGCGTGAGCCACCGCGCCTGGCCTTACTTCAGTTTTATTTTCAGTATCTTTCAGAAATCTGAAGCTGAAAGGAAGATGTACAAAAAGAGTGGGAGAAAGGCTTTATTTTCAATTTTATTAGAATAGTTCAGATTCTAGACAAAATAATACCCACTCATTTAAAAAAAATTTTTTTTAGGTGTTCTTGTCATACAGAAGTAACTCAGCTTCCCTACCTTCCACCCACATACCAGCACTGCTATAAAAGTGGATCTAAGAGTCCCTGTCTACAAGGCAGGGCTTGCTCCAACTTTCCCAGGCTGCCTCTGACACCCAAGTGAAAGGCAACATTAAAGGGAGAGCATTTCCTGCAATAATAAAAACTTGTTGGTATAAAGGCTCTTCACGGCACGCCCCCACACAATAACCCTAACTAAGTGTAAATAACAATTTACACCTAACAGATATTAAATACCTTTCCAGAAGCACCTCTAATACAATACCACTTTAATATCCTTTGCCCCAACATTCCCCTTAACATAAATGAAGTCAAATTACAGCTAACTCTATTATTTCCCTAACTTTATTTCTCTAGTTTAGGCAGAGTTCAGTCATATAGAACCCATTCACCATTCAAAAAAAAAAAAAAGTGAGTGTGAAATTTGAAATCAAATGCTTTAGATCTTATAGGCTTATAAAAAACAATCCTCATTTATTTCCTGTTCCCCAAAGTCAAACCTTTAGCACAAAACCACAAATAACATAAACTAAGACATCAGTGAGGCCAGGCAAATCAAAAAATTTAATTCACAAATTACTACATGTCTTTGGGTAACTTATTCATATCTTTAAGAAATCCCAAACCCCAGATAACTAGAGTCATACATACAACTGAAATTATGTGTACATTGTACACATCCCTGTGAGGGATTAAGGAAAAGGTTCTCAGACAAATATGAAAATGGATGGGATGTAAACAAATTTATCAATAACTGGGTTGTCAAGAAGATAATACATGATTAATCTGTGAAAATTGAAGACTGCTCTTTATCCAACGGCATGCCACGAATATGCCATGCCTCTATTATTAAGTTACAGGAAACTTTGTTGTCTTGTTCACCACTAATATCCCTGTGTCTGGCATAGTATCTGGCACACAGTAGGTACTCAAAAAACAGTTGGTACACAATAAACTAATTCAGAATGAGAAAATAAATTCAATTTATATAAATTATATAAACTTGCATGTTAATATAATTATATAAACTATATAAGTATAAACTATACTTGCATATGTTAATATAATTACATACACTATATAAGTATAAACTTGCATGTTAATATAATTACATAAACTATATAAGTATAAACTATACTTGCATATGTTAATATAATTACATACACTATAATTATAAACTTGCATATGTTAATATAATTACATAAACTATATAAGTATAAACTATATAAGTTAATATAATTATATAACTATGTAAGTATAAACTATATAAGTTAATATAATTACACAAACTATATAAGTATAAACTATATAAGTAAATAAATTTATATAGTTGTGTGTGTGTGTGTGTGTGTGTGTGTGTGTGTGTGTGTACTGCTTAACACCAAGGTCAACTTCCCATGAAGAAATGGAGAGCCTAATATACTCTACAGCATTTTGAGGACCTGAGCATACCTCAATATCAAAAGTGTCCTTTAGGCTGGGCATAGTGGCTCACGCCTGTAATTTGGGAGGCCGAGGAGGTGGATCACCCGAGGATGGGAGTTCAAGACCAGCCTGACCAACATGGTGAAACCCTGTCTCTATTAAAAATACAAAAAAAAAAAAATTAGCTGGGTGTGGTGATGCCCACCTGTAATCCCAGCTACTTGGGAGGCTGAGGCAGGAGAACTGCTTGAACCCGGGAGGCAGACGTTGCAGTGAGCCGAGATAACACCACTGCACTCCAGCCTGGGTGACAAGAAAGAAACTCTGTTTCAAAAGAAAAAGTGTCCTTTAGATAGGTAAATTTCTGTCTCTCAATTTTCTAGATGCCTAATATCCTTAAGCTGTCCTTGGCTACCCTAAACCCTCAAATCAGGAAATTTAGCTATACCTCCAATAATTTAAGACCCTGTTTCCTCTTCCTCCAACTGCCCCATTCACCACTTGGATGACAGGTTAAGTAAAAGTGCCTAAGGAAAACCTGTGATAAAAGACAATACCCTTAACTTGCAACAAGTTACATTTTAACCATCTGATCAGAGGCAGTAAATGTTTAATCTGAAAGACTGTCTATAAGAATAACTTCAGGAACAGTTTCTTAAATAGATTTGTCTGGGCAGGGAGACTACATTCATTGTCCCTTAAATCACAAGCAAGCCTGTATCTCCTTACTCTGCCTGATTTTAAACTAATTTGGCCAGACTAGGTTCTACGAAAATTATAACTAATAAAATAATCATTTTCAATGGCACACTCTTAAAATAGGCATGATTTAGCAATGAAAGGTCAAGTACCTAAAATATTTTCGAACTTTCTGTTGAAGAGAACTCACTTTGTTTCATTAACTCAAAACTAGCAATTCTAGAAATAACTTAATTAAAAATAGATGTAAAACCTTTCATTAAAAGAAATACTGTTCAATCATGTCCTCCATAACGTCCAACTGTATAATGCATTAGTATGAAACTGCAAGCATTATGCAATGGAAAGCTTGGATTTAACTAAGCAAAAGAATATATAAAAGAAGCTAAAAACATTTTATAACTGTAGTTAAGAGTTTGGGTAGTAACCAACCATCTACTACTCATTTATAAATGCACTGAAAAAAACTGTTACTTTAAAAAAGTAATAAATAAGATTGTAAAATAGCTTGGGATCCTTCAATTTAAAATTGTTTTTTTTTAATCCCATTAGCTTTCCTATGTGGCAGAATGGAGAGTAAACCCTTAAATTTTAATATCCCATTACCTCCATTTCTAAACGACGTTAATTTCAGATAGAATAAACCTACAAATGGAGTAAAGCCAGGAAAGTGTAGTTTCAAATACTGTGCACTACATTTATCAGTACTAAATACTAATAACCAAAAAAATTGGGGGTGGAAAATTCATCTTATTATGAATATTGATTAGAATTTTGCTGCAAAAGACTTTCATCAAACCATGTCATAATTTCTGAACAGGAACTCTTTAATCCACCCCAAAATTGGGAGGGGGAGATGGTCAATTTCCTTCCTCAAAAAATTCAATTACATACTGTAATTATTTTTTCATATATGTCTAATACTTCAATTCACTTGGGAAACATTTTTACTTTTTCAACTTTTTCCTCAAAGAATTTTACTTATGTTATAGTTACTATAATTCCCATACTTTGCTGGTTGTGGGTCAGAAATTTACTGTTCACAGATGTTTCTCATTGAAAGCACATTAATATTTACTTGTAAAAAGACCTGGTTCTAATCTAGTCTCATAACACTTCCAGCCTTAAGCTGTTACAAAGCCCAAGCTATTGTTTTATGTCAGTAGAGATACAGTTCATAGATAAGTGAAATCCACAAATATATCAAAACCTCATTATCGTAAATATAAAATACTCTTAATTTGAATAATCCAAAATAACAGAAACAGTTATATCATTAATATAAAACATATAATATAGACCTCTATTAGAATATAGTTAAAGAGAAACATAATCACAGCCACTGCCATATGATTGCAATATTGATAGCTTTAGACTTGAATGAAAGCTGTAAGTTTACTCCAGAGAGCTTACCCAACAGGCCCAATCCAAAATAGCTTGGGCCTTTAGGCCCAAAATACCTAATAAGATGTACTAGTTAGTCCATTATTTCTTTTAACTCTATGCATTCCGGTCCAACCTGCAACATAGGTGCTAATTATTAGAGAAATGGCTATTTGAAAGAAAAAAATAATTAAAGGAACATGAAAACAAACTAAAACAAACTGACAGACCAAGTAGTATCTTTAATTCAGAATTAATTGTATTAACTGTATTTATTTTCTTATTCTAGGTTTCCATCACAATATTTCAAAAAATCATGATAGCTCAGAGGTCATCTGGCCCAACTCCTTCATTTTATATACAACAAAACTAAAGTCAAGAAAAATTGAAGTTATTTGAGCATGAACATGGTGGTGGTTAACTCTATTGCTGGAACCAGAATCCAGGACTCCTAACTTCAATTTTTCTTACTATAAGATATTCAGAAATATGCTTGGCAATGACCTAACATTTTCTGATTCTAAATTTCAACAAGTTAACAAATAAGATGTTACTAATGTCATCACAAAATAGTCTAAAACGTTAGACTAAAAATAGTCTTAGTGGGGAAAGATGCCCTCTACTTTATATATTACCTTTCTGGAAAATACAACATTTGGAAACTGCCAACTGTGCCTCTCATCTGCTCAAAACAAAGCCTAAAGTTTATCATAATATGATGGGTTTTTTACATTACATTTATATTGTCCAGCCCACCTGGTTCAAAACACACACACACACATACACACACAAACACACACACACACACACACACACACACACACACAGACACACAGAATCTCTCCAAAGTTTCAGAACTTCTAGGGGTGAATGCCAACCACCTTTGTCTGGCCGCCAATACTATAAATTAAATCCTCTTATTACAGTAAATTAGCAAAAAGCACTGGGAAAGCTAGGCTCTGAATGGTACCGGGTCAAAAGACAGAAAGCCTTGTAGGCATTTCATTCCACCATAAAGCTTCACATAAATCAAACAGTATCTAGAAATTATAACCCTTAGCTTACCTGGACAACAGGATATTGATAATCCATACAATATACACCATACATAGCAAAAGGGAAAAAATCTTCAGATAAGGACAGTACAAAAAGTGTCTAAGTTTTTGCCTTGTTTGCGCTGGCTGTCCTGTCCAAAGGAACTAGGTAGCACCAAAAAAATCCTTCGCTGACCTCCAGTCTACGCAGATAGGTATGCTGGCTCAGCTGATGAAGTCGGAGCTTGGTTGAGACCAGGCCTCCACCCCAACAGGATTTGACAATACACAGAAGAGATGTTCAGAAAAAAGCAAAAAGCTTTGAGTTACTAGTTACAGACTGAAAACTACACTGGAGATTTGCTGTTACTGTTGGTTTTTAAATTGACAACTCAACCAGAAACTCAAGAGGCAGAGAATGACAGCCAGGGAAGGGAACACAGGCTCCTCACACTGGCACACAAACACGGTAGGAAGTCTAAGGTATCCAGGAGCCAAAATAATATATATGTTCCAGGCTTTAAGTGCGTCAGAGAATACTCCCAATCCAGGACACAGAAAGGCAGATGGGACTGGTATTACTACTCTATTCTTTCTTGGGCGGGGAGCATGTACCCGTGTGCACGCATGCGCATTCTCTGTCTCTCTCTCATACACACACACACACACACACACACACACACACACACACACACCCTTCTCACTGTCTCCGGCAGAGACAGGTGTTAGGATTAACAGTATAAAACCTTTCTGCCACGGAAAGGAATGGGAGAAAAAAGTCACACTGATACACGCAGTAAGGGGATCCCTTTCATGACACTGTATGTTTTTGTATCATTTAACACCTCCCTCGCTGTGCTTTAACAGAGGTTAGGACAGCTGGCAGGATCAGCACTAGAAAAGAAGAAAGTGGCCCCAACTCTGAGGCAACATGAGTCCACTGGAGGCCTCCAGATATGCAGGGTACACTTGCTCAGCTGTTCCAGTCAAACTTGGAAGGATTAACTCCGGCTGTCTGCAAAAAGGTGGGGGTGGAAAGGTCTTTTCAGAAAAGCCAGTTGCTTTTCTCCTTTTAGGGAGCTGCTATACCCACCCTGCCATTATATACAAATACACATGTGCACACATATTTCTATAACAGATATTAAAAGCAGTAACAAACATGGACAGGTGTTAGGTTTGTCTGACAAAGCACAATAGGTTCAAGAGTTGGCTTTCAGAGCCTAAATGGCCCATCAAAAATCAGAAAACTGCTAAGTAATCCTTAGAAAAAGGACACAGAGTGAGCAGAAAGTGAAAATTAATGTTTATTAAAAGACAAACCAGTTGTAACTATTGATCCTACGAAATCTTCTATTTGGAACAAGCATTCAAAATTTCAAAATGGTAAATAATTCTAAATAAGTTTCAGGGGCTATGACGTCCCTAATCGTGGAGAGCCAGTAATATTGTAACATGCTTTTGGATGATTAAACCATGAGGATTAAATGCAACTGTGAGGGCATCTGTGAGAATTTAAGTATTACCATGCCCTCCATGCCCCGCCCCCATCAGTGTAATTCTTCTCCTTTTACGGTCACTGTAATTTATTTTAGGATTGTTCAGAAGAAACAGATTTTTAAGAGTCAAAATGGCTATAGCATATTTTGATGGTATTCTTGGTTAAACATTTACCTGAACTCAGTTCTAACAGATTAGGAGGACCACTATACTCGATTATCTTCAATTTGCTGGTACTGATTCTATGTGCATTACACATGAAGAACAAGAATAAATCTATTCAGTATAATTAATAAAACATTTATTGAACATCTATTGCAGACAAAATATTGTACTAAGCCCTGGAGAAATGAACACAGTTCTGTTGTCAATGAATTCACAGTTTATGGGAGAAATAGATAAGGACACAGGCAAAGCCAAAAAGCAAAACAATGCTACAGCACAAAACTAAATATTGTAAGCAACTTCTCATACATGGAAAAACATTTTTTAAAAATTACTCTTGGCCGGGTGGTGTGGCTCACACCTGTAATCCCAACACTTTGGGAGGCTGAGGCAGGGGGATCACTTGAGGTCAGGAGTTCGAGACCAGCCTGGCTAACATGGCAAAACCCTGTCTCTATTAAAAATACAAAAATTAGCTGGGCGTGGTGGCATGCACCCTGTAATCCCAGCTACTTGGGAGGCTGAGGCAGGAGAATTGCTTGAACCCAGGAGGCGAAGGCTCACCACCGCAGCCGAGATCCCGCCACTGCACTCCAGCCTGGGCAACAGAGCAAAACTCCATCTCAAAAAAAAAAAAAAAAGTTGCTCTTAATACACAGTTTTATAGTCTCTCTCACCATTAGAACTATAAAACCCTACTTTGTCAATTCTTAACAGAGATTATCAAAGCCTCATAACATTTCAGATGTGCTTTGCCATACCTTAAGGGATTATAATATACAGTCAGCCCTCCTTATCCTTGGGTTACACATTTGTGAATTCAACCAACTGCAAACAAAATATTTGTGAAAAGCAATAAAAAAAACCCAATACTGTATAATAACAAAAATATAATACAAATTTTAAAGACAATAGTTATAATAATTATTTACATAGCATTTACATTGTTTTGGAAATTATAATTTAGAGATAATTTAAAGTCTACAAGAGGATGAACATAGGTTATATGCAAATACTACACCATTTTATATAAGAAACTTGAGCATCTGCCAATTTTGGTATCTGCAGGGGTGTGAGAGGGTGTATCCTGGTACCAATCTCCCACAGATATGAGAGGACTATATATTCTAACAGTCTCCTGTATAGGTATTAAAATGGTAATTAAGAAATAACAAAAGACTGGGTACAGCAGCATGTGCCTGTAGTCCCAGCTACTAGGGAGGATCATTTGGGCCAGGAGTTCAAGTCTAGCCTGGGCAACATAGTGACACCTTTCTTTTTAAAAAAAAAAAAAAAAAAAGAATGTTTCTGCAATAAAACCTTATGCTAAATTTCCTCTTCTAATCAAATCAAATAATTATTAATCCTTCTTCCTCCCTGTACACTTCTGTCATTTCATACATAGCAGTACAGCAGGATGGGCCACATATACACTTATAAGCTAGTATCTTAAATCACTATTAAATCTCCTAAGATTCTTCTTGATATGAAGACTGGAAAATGATGATATGTCTTATACATCATAAAAGGCTGTAATAATGAACTATGACTGACTAACTTAAACTTCAAGAGTTAACCCAGTTCAATATTTGGTGACTTAATTATAGAGGAAATTCCCAGATGCTGTTGTATTTAAGATGAAAGACTGTAATTCAAATCCTAAAACAACTGACATAATTTAAGCATGAAAGTGATCCCCAAATGTTATTGAAGGCCTAGTCAATTTCCAGAGAAAGATTTAAATTCTTCTAGACTATACATACAAGGTGAAAAGATACGACTGATGCATTATTAAATGAAAAAAATTGCCAGGCACAGTGGCTCATGCCTGTAATCCCAGCACTTTGGAAGGCCAAGGCGAGCGGATCACCTAAGGTCAGGAGTTTGAGACCAGCCTGGCCAACATGACGAAACTCCATCTCTACTAAAAATACAAAAATTAGCCGGGCGTGGTGGTGGGTGCCTGTAATCCCAGCTACTCAGGAGGCTCAGGTGGCAGAATCATCTAAACCTGGGAGGCTGAGGTTGCAGTGACCCGAGATCGTACCACTGCACTCCAGCCTGGGCAACAAAGTGAGCCTCTGTCTAAAAAAAAAAAAAAAAGAAAGAAAGAAAAATATTATGTTGTTTAATAATGTGTTATAGTTCTATATTTGTAAATGAAATTATATAGGGGTATGCATGCATGTATGAATCTATGTGTACATCAATCAATAAATTATGTATGTAATTAGACTTTGAAAAGCAGTGCTCCAAATAAAATGAAAAAACTAAAAAATTTATTGTGTAATTAGTTAAGCTTTTATTAAGTCACATATAAGTTAGACATGTATGTATATGTATACACATATACGTAATGTATTGGTTGACATACACACCAATATATGCCATATGTCCACACATTATATATACACATACCATTATATGCCATACATATACATATATATACACACGTGTGTGTGTGTGTGTGTGTGTGTGTGTGTGTGTGTGTGTGTGTGTAGCCATTAAGACAAAACTAGTACCTCCAGGCGGTGGAATGGGGTGGTGGCTGGTTTTCGCTTACTAATTTAGAGATAAATTTCCAATCGTTCATACACATTTAAATTAGCATTAACTGCTCCTATAATTTGTTAAAAGTTTAAAGGAACCAAAACAGATTTTACTTTCAATACAAGTACTTTAAAAATTATTAATATTCCCATGGTCTCTGATTTATATGACTAGGCCAGGCACGGTGGCTCACGCCTGTAATCTCAGCACTTTGGGAGGCCAAGGCAGGTGGATCACCTGAGGTCAGGTGTTCGAGACCAGCCTGACCAATGTGGTGAAACCCCTTCTCTGTTAAAAATACAAAAAATTAGCCAGGCATGGTGGTGCATGACTGTAATCCCAGCTACCTAGGAGGCTGAAGCTGGAGAACTGCTTGAATCTGGGAGGCGGAGGTTGCAGTGAGCCGAGACTGTGCCACTGCACTCCAGCCTGGGCAACGAAAGCAAAACTCTGTCTCTAATAATAATAATAATAATAATACGACCACATTTGCTTTACCTAACATAATGTGATAACTATAAACTCTCATTTAAGACTAGAGGATATAGGCTGGAAGCAGTGGCTCATGCCTATAATCCCAGCACTCTGGGAAGCTGAGTCAGGAGGATTGCTTGAGGCCTGGAGTTTGAGACCAGCCTGGTCAACATATTAAGACCCTGCCTATAGCCCCGCCCCAAAAAAATTAGCTGGGTATGGTGGCACACAGCATGTGCCTATACTCCCACCTACTTCGGAGGCTGAGGTGGGAGAATCACATAAACCCAGGAGGTCAAGGTTACAGTGAGTTATGATCATGCCACTGTACTCTAGCCTGGGCAACACAGCAAGACCCTGTCTCTTGAAAAAAAAAAAGACTAGAGGATATACACAATAAAGAATCTTAATCTTTAGATATATGATTAAGATATCTCACCTAGGTTCTGCTGAAACCATGCCCAGGTATAGCTTAAATCATCAGCTCTTCAGAAAAATGTCAAAATAATGTAATATTTGAATTATAACTCTTATACTTTATCTTGCCTTTTACCCATTTCTTTCTGTAAAATTTTTTTAATTGCTATAATTTGAAGACTAATAACTTAGTCAAACCAAAATTTGAAATAATACTGATGGAAAAAAAAAGGAGAATCTTTTACCTATAAGACAAAACACACTACAAAAAATCAAATTATAAACTTGAAAGGTTTCTCTCTCTTTTCTTGATATGGTCTTTCTTCAGAATAATGTAGCCTCAGTTATTAACAGAAAGAAATTCCATGCATGGATCAATAGCTCAACATCATTCTTTCAGTATTTTTCCCATTTATCAAAATGATTTTAAAAATAGAAACAAAAAATGAAAATATTTTCAACTCAGAAATTACTCCTGAGTCCCCTCCCTCATCAGAAAAGACTGGGTATTTCCTTAAAATTTTAAATAATATATTTACTCAAAAATTCTAGAAATAAAAAGACTAATTTTCCACAATAAACTCAAGAGTTATTGGCTGATGATGCCAATCTATTCCACTTTCAAGTTTACACTCTACAATATTATGGATGCTTTTATAGTATTAAAGTTCATGTGTCCTGATCAATAAAAAACATGAATTCAGAAAATAGTCCTTCATGTATATTTCCATACATCTCTTTAGCAAAGACATGCAATACCAATTCACTTTTTTTTTCTGAGACGGGGTCTCACTCTGTCACCCAGGTTGGAGTGCTATGGCACAATCTCAGCTCACTGCAACCTCTGCCTTCTAGGTTCAAGGATCCTCCCACTTCAACCTCCCAAGTAGATGGAACTACAGGCGCATGTCATGGCTCCTGGCTAATTTTTTCAACTTTTTTTGTAGACATGGAGCTTTGCCATGTTGCCCAGGCTGGTCTTCAACTCCTGAGTTCAGGCGATCCACCTGCCTCAGCCTCCCAAAGTGCTGGGATTATGGGTGTGAGCCAGCATGCCCAGCCCCAATTCATTTTTCAACATAAGTTTTAACACTTGGGTCGGGCACAGTGGGTCACACCTGTAATCCCAGCCCACTGGGAGGCTCAGGCAGGCGGACTGCCTAAGTCAAAGAGTTCAAGACCAGCCTGGGCAACATGGCAAAGCTCCATCTCTACCCAGGCCTGGTGGCACATGCCTGTAGTCCCAGGTACTCGGGAGGCTGAGGTGGGAAGACTGCTTAAGCCTAGGAGGTGGAGGTTGCAGTGAGCTGAGATTGTGCCACTGAACTCGAGCCTAGGAGACAGAGTGAGACTCTGTCTCAGGAAGAAAAAAAAAAAAAGTTTCAACACTTAGCACACTTAGAATGTCTGTTGAACAGAAATTTAATGATATCAGGGAGAAACAGACCTAGACTTAGAAACAGACCTAGTTATTCAAAATCTAGACCTAGAAATAGACCTCGTATTTAAGAGTGAGATATTTAGAAATTATCATGAGATTTGTAAGGTTTAAGTTTTGCTAAGGATAAGGTAAATCAGTCTCATGCCAGAGGACATGGTTGATGATGCTGTAGTGTTATCTGTACACCGACATACAACCCTTGGGATCTCAAGACTTAGCAAGCACTGGTTAAGTTCAGTCAATCAAATTAACCAGAAAATATTTAAGATTCTTTTCCTCCTCTCCTATTCTCTCATTCCTGTTTTCTTCTCTCTTTTTCTTTCCCTTCTGCCCATGCCACAATCCTGCCAAATGTTTAAGGATATTAGCTATGCCTCAGGGTAGAATGCTTTAGCAAAGATTGCCGAGATTTCTGCCTGAGGTATAAATTTGGTTTTAGTCACAGTATTCTTAGAAGGTTCCAAAGATTCTATATTACCCTGTGCACCAGGGTAAGACAGAACTTCAAAAAGAGATAGGTCAGTTCTAGAGGCCAGGAGGGGAAAAAAAAAAAAAAAGAGCAAAAGAGCTAGGGCTTGAGCTGGAAGGATGAGGATGGGACAGGGGGTGGAGGAGGAAGATATATATGCAGGCAAAATATGTCATTAGAAATATGCAACACTGGGCCAGGCACGGTGGCTCACACCTGTAATCCTAGCACTTTGGGAGGCTGAGGCGGGTGGATTGCCTGAACTCAGGAGTTTGAGACCAGCTTGGGCAACACGGTGAAACCCATCTCTACTAAAATACAAAAAATTAGCCAGGCGTGGCCACGTGCGCCTGTAATCCCAACTACTCGGGAGGTTGAGGCAGGAGAATTGCCTGAACCCGGGAGGCAGAGGTTGCAGTGAGCCGAGATTGCACCACTGCACTCCAGCATGGGTGACAGAGCGAGACTCCGTCTCCAAAAGGAAAAAAAGAGAAAGAAATATGCAAGACTGACTGACTAAGGGATTGTGTGACCAGTTTACTTGACTATGGGTAGGTGGTGGCAAATGACAAGAAAAGTAGGTAGGTTCACTATGGAAGGACTAGGACATCCTGCTACGTATTTCAGATCTGATCTTTAAAGATTGAGCAAGAGGAAAAGAGTGCTACATAAATAACGTTTTGTGAAAATGGCTCTGGTGGCTGCAGGTAAGAATGAAAAAGGGAACAACCTAAAGGTGGGGAAACCAATTAGCAGCTACCATTACAAGAGGTTACAGATGACTAATGCAAAAAATACATATTAGCAGTAGGAATAAAGAAGGTATAGATATATAAGAGATGACGAAGACAACATCCACAGTAATTGAAGACTGTCCACATGTAGGGTATAAGAGAAAGGTTCTAATTCTAGCTAACTAGCCAAATAAGAATAACACTGCTAATACAGACAAATCTGAAGCATAAACTGGTTTGAAGTAATGGTAGAGAAGGTATAACAGGTACTCGGGGTTGAAGGTACAGCTAGAGGAGAGGTCAGGGTTAGACACGAAGATCAAAGAGAAAAGGAGAAATAGCCATGGCCATAATGGGGTTGAGATTCCTCTCCCACACTGATGCAGTCTGTAACATTTATTATACATCAACCATGTACTCCAAAAAAAGAAAAGTAGAGACAAAAGAAAAATGGGAGGTGGAGGGGAGACACAGACAGATAGAAGGCAAAGGCTGAAAATAGAACCTTGAGGAATCCTTGCTTCAAGAAGGCAGAAATAGAAACAGAGGATAAAAAGATTAAGCATAATCGTGTACTATTCACAAAAGCCAGGAATACAGAGGACATCTGTTTCTTTTCTTCGATCTCACATCCTTTATACTAGGGAAGGTATTTCATAAATTGATATCAGAGGTGAATATATAACAATGCCAAGTAGAAATCTAGAAAGGTTAAAGAAAATGAGAATTTAGAAATAAATGACTGAATTTAGCAAACAAGAGTTAAAGAGTTTTCAGAGCACTGTTTTAGTAATATGAGTAAAAAGAATGGTAGCAAACCTGATAAACTCATGGTCAGAATGAAAAATAGACAAAATGCCTGCATATAAATTTTAACAAACTTTCTATTGGGATACTTGATTTCCAAGTGGCAATAAAGTACAAAACCAATTATTGATACATTCAACTACCCACAGTTGCCTCTATCAAGGAGAATTTTTACTTTATTTTGTTTGGTTTTGGCCTCTGTGCCTTTGATCATGTTTTCTTACCCATTTCAAAATGCCCAAATCTTAAAAATGCTACCTTAAATGCCATCTGCTCCACAAAGCTCTTCCTGATTACCTCCAACTAGAAGTGATTTCTCTTTCCTCTGAACTTATATGGCATTCTCTATTTGTTTTTAGACATACTTATTTTATTGATTAGATGAATTCTCTAAGGATAGAACCTGTCCATCCATCTTCCTATTTCTCACAAATAATTAAGCTAAAGGCCAGGCACGGTGGCTCAGGCCTGTAATCCCAGCACTTTAGGAAGTCGAGGTGGGTGGATCATTTGAAGTCAGGAGTTCAAGACCAGCCTGGCCAACACGGTGAAACCCCAACTCTACTAAAAATACAAAAAATAGCTGGGCGTGGTGGTGGGCACCTGTAATCCTGGCTACTCAGGAGGCTGAGACAGGAGAATCGCTTGAACCCGGGAGGCGGAGGTGGCAGTGAACCGAGATCGTGCCACTGCACTCCAGCCTGGGCAACAAGAGTGAGACTCTGTCTCAAAAAAAAAAAAAAAAAAAAGAATTAAGCTAAAACAGTTTATACAGTATATGCTCATCAGTATATGAAAAGAGAAGGTCTGCAATAAATTCAAACTACAAATCAGAGGTAACTGAATGAATCACCACATACAGACCATCCCTAATTTGTTAGTCAGTCAATATTCATTCAATCATGATATCTTCAACATTGCATGAAGGCCTACAAACAGCAAAAACTATTCAAGAGCTGAAAATACAGGGGAGAAAAAGTAGAAAATAATACACACCAAAATACCATTCGATAAATGCCACGCTTATTCCAATATGGCTTGGGAGAAAATAAAGCAGCAATTGCTACTATAGCCACCACCACCACCATCTAATTTCTCAGGGTGAAGAAAACCCAGAAATATTTCACAAGCAATTAATGCTTAAAATGTACTTTAAAAAAACTAGCGGGAGTTTTCTAGATGGATTAGGGTGGTGGTGGGAAGCTTTGAGGCAGTGGAACAACTTTTCAAGTGCATAAAACAGCATAGCATACATGAAGCCATACCTACAGAAAGGCAGGCAGGTCAGCATACCCAAAAAAAGTCAAAAGCCTATTTAAAAATATCCATGGAAGAGTTCTATTGATTCTAAGGTACTGAGAAAATTGTAAGGCTTTCTACACCAATGGAAATCTTTAAATTATACCTACCAGAAAATAGCAAATCATAGTTAAGTATGGAAACACTCCTTTGCATGACACATGGTACAGAAAGGAAGTATGGGTAATAACAGAGTAAACCATGGAATGGCTGATATGCATTTCTGTTTTGGAATGAGAGACATGGCATACAAACTGTGAGGCAAGGAATTAGCAGTTTTGTTAAAAGTGTCATTCATAAATCAGTAAATGGATAGGACAATAGTTATTCACTTTTTGTTTTTAAGTTAGAGGCAGGGTTTTCACCATGTTGGCCAGGCTGGTCTCACACTCCTGACCTCAAGTGATCTACCCACCTCAGCCTCCCAAAGTGCTGGCATTACAGGCATGAGCCACTGTGCCTAGCCATTAGTTATTCACTTTAAATTTACAAGACAATATATAAAGGTTAAGGGGCAAAATGTAAAACTTTCAGAGCAGGAAATAATTTTAAATATTCTAATACTGTTAGGGAAACATACCTAAAAATAATTTCACATACATTATCTTATACAACAAAACTTTTTTCTCTCCATAATAACTTTTATCTCAACTAACTCATAATACCTTTTTGGTGAACTACAAAAAATTGGTCATAATATTTCACAGCTCCTCCATCAAGAAGTGGAATTTGTTTCTTCCACCCCTTGAATTTGGTCTTAGCTTTGTGACTCACATTGGTCTTGGGGATATTAGCAAATATCACACAAGCAGAGGCTTGACAGGTGCCTGTTCACTGAGGCTTGCCCTCTCTTGCTACTCTCTGGAACCCCGACACTACTGTGTGAAGAAGTGTGAAGGACGAGAGCAAGTGGAATACAGATGAACTGCTCCAGCTGAGCCCCCAGATCAACTAACCTGCCAACTGCCAGACATGAGAGTGAGGTTATCCTAGACCACTGAGGCTCAGCAAATGCGGCCAAGACTAAAACAATCACCCAAACTCCTGACCCGCAGAACTCTGAGCAAATAAATGATTAACACTTTGTTAAGCTATTAAGTTGTGGGAAAGTTTGTTACACAGCAAAACCTAACTGACACAATTTCATTGCATAACATGAAGATGTAAACCTCAATACTGACACCAACACCACACTGTCTGCAGGCTTTAAATCAGGCTGTGTTAGTCCTGCAACTTTGTTTTCCTTCTTCAAAGTTGTTTTGGCTATTCTAGGTCTTTGGCATTTCCATATGAGTTTTAGAATCAGCTTGTCAATTTCTACAAATATCTGGCTAAGATTCTGATTGGGATATACACTGAATCTACAGATCACTTTGGGGAGAATTAACATCCGAGAGAATTGAGTCTTTCTGACTATCAACACAGTATATCTCTCCACTTCATTCCACTATTCAAATAAAGGGTTTTTAAAGATTATGACTATCTTTTCTCTAGGCCTGTACTGAAATCGAATGCTATACCTGATGTTTGTAACACTTATCATTTCTTCTGAAGTCTGCTAGATCCCATAATACTCACATCCCTATAAGACTGTATGATACTGGTGTCAAGAGAGAAAAATAGATCAGTGAAACAGAATAGAAAGTCCAGAAATAGATCCACAGGTGCAAACGGAATTCAGTAGAGAAAGAACAGTCTTTTCAACAAATGGTGCTGACACAACTGGATGAAAAGAAACGAGATTTATACTTCTTTCCAAATACAAAACAACTCAAAATGGACCACATACCTAAAAATGTAAAAGATAAAACTGTAAAACTTCTAGGAGAAAACTTCTGTGACCTTGGATTAGGCAAAGATTTCTAAGCTATAACATTAAAAACATAATCCATAAAAGAACAATAAATTGGACTTCATTTAAAACTTCTGCTTATCAAAAGACACTGTGAGGAGAATAAAAAGACAAGCCACAACTGAGAGAAAATGCTTGCAAAGTATACACCTGATAAAGGACTTGTATTCAGAATATACAAGAACTCTCAAAATTCAACCATAAGAAACAAAACAACCCACGTTTTTTAAAAAATGGGCAAAAAAAATGAACACCTGATTAAAAGAAGATGGTAAATGAGATAGTAAACAAGCGCATGAAAAGAAGCTCAGTATCATTATTCACTAGGAAATTAGAACCTATTAGTATGATATCACTACATACCTATTTAAAAGACTTCGACAATACCAAGCTTTGGCAAGGCTATGGAGGAACCGAAAGTCTCATATGCTGCTGGTGGAATGTAAAATGGTATAACCAATGTGGAAACAGTTTAGCAAGTTCTTATAAATTCAAACACACACCTACCATATGATCTATCTATTCTAACTATTTACCCAAGAGAAAAAAGAACATATAAAGAATATGAATATGAATACTCATAAAAAATCTATTTGTCTGGCCTAAAACTGGAAACAATCCAAATATCCATCAACAGATAAGTAATAGTGATAAACAAATTGTCATATATCCACAATTACTACTACTTAGAAATAAAAATTAATGAACCACCAGTATATACAGTAACATGGATGAATTTCAAAATAATTATGCTGAGCGAAAGAAGCCACGCAAAACAGTACTTATTGTATGAGTCCATTTTTATACAATACTAGAAATTGCCAACTAATCAATAGTGACAGAAAGCAGATAAGCGGTTGCTTGGAGATGTGCTGGGGAGGTAAGAGCATATTGGGAGCACTACAAAGGGGCATGAGAAAACTTACGGAGATGATTCATATGTTAATTATCTTGGTTGTGGTGATTTCACGGGTATATACATATGCCAAAACCTAACAAATTAATTTTATATAGGTGCAGTTCATTGTATATCAATTATACCTCCATCGAGTTGTTAAAAAATTAAAATAATGAATTCTTGTCCCACTTAATGCAATGAATTTTTGAAGGGTTAGTTATTTTCTTTGGAGGGGGGGGGGAATGATAAAAGGAGATGGGGGAAAGGCATCCGTCTTCCCTAAAACACTACAGAAAAGGTCTTCTGAAAAGGAAGACTGGTAGCAAATTCCTTCTGATCAGTCTAGATTAGCCCCCTGCTAGAGAACCCCTTTAGCACGTGCATACATCCTCCTCACTTTGCCAGACATATCATCGTTTCTGTCTCTCCCACTTCAGGAGGGCAGGTACTACATAGTCCACCTTCTTCCTTAAAGTATCCCTAATACCTAGCAGAGTACCTGGTTGTAGTACACAAGCAACATCACATGTGGGTAAGAGTTCAGGCCTCTGTTAAGCCAGGCTACTTGATTCGAATCTTAGCTCCATAACTTCTTAGCTGTGTAATTTGAGAAAAGTTATTTAACACCTCTCTGCCTCAAGTTCTTCGTCTGGAAAAAGAAGATAATAATAGTACCTATCTCATGGGGCTGCTGTGATGACTAAATCAGTTGATATATGAATAGGCCTGGCATATACTGATTATTAAATTATAGTTGATGTTATCGGCGTCATTGCTGTCGTCGTCATCATCATTATCTCTGATAATTGAAGGACATTTAAAAGAGATTGAGAATTATCTGAATTACGAAGCTAAATCTATATCTGAGGAATAAGTGGCCTCAACAGCAGGCAGAAAGCATATAAAGAACTAGGTAACTGTGTTAGGAGGAGAAAAGTCAGCTGGGGGGCAGGGGAGAGCACCTACCCATACCTAGCACAGGGCATTTACGTTATTTTTGTAACATATTGTTGTTATTTTGTAAATATTTGTAACATTTTACAAAATATGTTATTTTTGCAAATATTTGTTATTTTGTAACATATTTATGTTATTTTTGTAAATTTATGTTACATTTCTGTAACATAAATCAAGTGAGAAGACTACCCTTGACCAAGAAGGGAATATCAATAAATAAAGGAGGAGAGAAAATTGAAGTGATTTTTATGCCAAAGCAAATTTCCTTAAGCACAAAGCAGGCAACATGTTCTCTCTTTAACAGTACCGAAAAACAATAAGAAGCCATTCTCTTGCGTTCAAAATAAAAAGCTAATCCAAAAAGGCGGCCAGGGTGTCTTGAGCGTGTACCTGCCCCTCTTCTTGGATTGTGTTCACTATGCTCATGCCTTACAGATGAGCTGTCAGGAATCTGACAGCTGCACCTGACTCTCATACCTACTGGGGATAGAGACAGGGCTCTAAGAGCAGCAATGTAGCAGTTGTGGGAATCCTTGGGTTAGCACTAGCCCCTTGATCCATTCAGACCTGTAATCTCTTCTGACTTTGATTTAATGCAGCAATTACTGGTAATGTGGTTTGAAGGAGATAAATGCCCAGTGTAGCCAGCTGTCGTTTACCCTGCTCACGATGCAAGAATATTTTTAAATTAAAATTCCCTTTATGATAAAGGAGCTGCTTCACTGAATGTTTCTGTGCAGCTCTGATATGGAACTTCCCCCAAAGCGGATTAGAAATCGAAGTTGCCCCTCCTCACTTCGGGCAAAGCATGCATATATACAATTACTCCAACACCTAAAGTGAGTTCCTTAACCCTAAATTTCCCATTTATACAATTAGATCCTGGTAAAAACTTCTTCTGCTTCTCAGATCAGTGTCAGCATTACATGATTTTCATTAATAATGATTCATCTGTTTTTGCAAACATATTCTCTTAATTTCCTTTTAAATTAATATGCAAAGTAAACATTCATAATCATATATGCATAAAAGACCTTTTTACCTATTTCACTTGGAAAAAATAAAGTACAGCTGAACATAAAATATCAAAAAATAAAGCCAGTTTTATTTTAACTCATAATACAATGTTTTGCTACACTTTTTATATCTAGGAATCTGAGTAATTAAGTCATAAGTGAAATAAACATAGAAGGGTTCATAGTACCTACCAGGGTTTTTTCCCCATGACCTGAAACCACTATAATATAGCAATTTAAGGAATTTACATAAGTTACTCAGTCCAGGTCAAAACTGTATAATGTGGGCAAATCAGTTGAAAACAATGATGACAACCACCACCCAATAACTAGAGGGAACATAATCATGTGAGGCCCCAAAGGTGAACATTTGGTACAGGTTTACTGGTTGCTGAATCAATCAATAAAAGTTTTGATCTAATTCTCAAACTTCCCACCCCCAAAAGTAGAAATAAGAAAAATAATAACTTATACTTAGGATCTATTACTTTGATTGCTTGGAGAGGATGGTCACTGACAATTATCCTTTGAGAAATGAAAGAAACAGAGCACAAGGTCTGAATCAGTTATATTGTGCAAAGTAGAAACAGTGACTTAAGACCAAATGTGTATTTTCTTTTCCTAATGCACACAGCACCAGTTCAGGGCAAAGGTCAAAAGCTAAGAAATGACTTTTTGTTCCACTATTAGAAAGCAGTGTCTCCATTGCAATTAATTCATCCAATATTTTTTGACTAAGAGCTTCTAAACTGAAATAACATCCCACTTTCAGAAGAGTGCCATATGCCTTCTCAGGAAATCCAAGGCTAAGACTAGATTCCCTCTCAGGAGGCCCTGCCAAGACCTACTTTAATCTTAGGTTTAAGAATACAGAACTGATGTCATCCTTGCAATACTAATGCTACTCTGCAGAAGTATTCATGGGTCTTTGGCTCTCTTTGAGAAAACTGATCTTCTCTTTCATAGAAAGATAGATAACTTTGGAAAAATAACTGTATGAATATATACTACATACATGGATGGATGGATGGATGGATGTATATCTCGGCCCTTGGAAAAAAAGCCTGGCATGATTAATAAGATTAAAGAGGGATTTAGGATAAATAAGATGAAAGTTAGTATGATCCTTACAGGATTAAACCCTAAATCCTAGTATGAATCCAATGAGTTTTTAAGATCAACACCATATAACAGGATTAAATCAATAGCCACTTTTGTTTTATATTGAAAACAATCATAGTTGGTAACACCAGGCCTATAGCACCAATTCCTCAGTTAAACACTGAGGAGTTCAGGACTAAACAGGGGCTTTTCCTCTGACTAGGCTTGGTGACTGCCCTACCTACACAGGTCCAAAAACCCGTATCTTTAATTCCAGCGTTCAAAAAGCCTGGAAAACTAAGTTTCTTTCTTCACCATCCTTTTCCCCTCCCCCATCTTTATTATTATTTTTTTTTGATGGTGATAGAAGAGGGATTCACTTTGATAGAAGAGGGATTCACTTAGTGACAAATGTGACCTAAACTAGTGTGGATATAACAATATTATGGTGTGAATATTCAAAAACATTTAGCTGCAAATAGATGAGTATGATTACACAGTGTTGCCTCTTACCCAAATACTGGTGGTTAGCCTAATATAGGGTACATGTATTGCATATTCTTTCTAAAACCCAAAAGATTCCAAATGATAATACATATCTGGCTTCCAGAGTTTCAGATAAAGGACTGTTGTGTTGTTCTTTAGCTAAAAAAAAGGCAGCTATGCCATGAATAACAGCAAATCAAGGAAAAAAATTAAAATTGTTAACACAATAAGCAACAACATGCCAAATATTGGCTATCACACTGTAGCCAGTGTGTCTAAGATGGATATGCACTGGGGATAAATTAGAAGACACAGAGATCCAGCTGGAACTACATATGCTACAGATTGATAATTACATTTTAATAACTAGAAAAATAGTATATTTTAAGTAAAATTTCTCAAAAGGTTGGTTTAGGGGTAAGCTTTTAAAACCTGCCATCAATCAAAAGCAAACAATAACAAAAGACTTTTGGGGGTATACCAGAAAAGACAACGTGAAGGTTTATTCAAACTGCATAATTAAATATGTATTTCCTAAATACCTTTGTAGTCTTATGATTCTTAGAATTTTAATTCCTAAAATAAACACAGAAAGGCAATTTGGAACATAATATATACGCCATTTTTTTGAAAGTGCATACATTAATTTTCAAACTCATTTATATTTATTAATTTCAAACAATTTATCTTGGAATATTTATATTTATGCATTAATTTACACACATGCATCTCTTTGATAGACATACTATTATTTAATTAACATAAAACAAAACTACAGACTTCTGCTTCCAGGAAGATGGAATACACATACTTTTCCCTATCCCTCCCACTAAGTACAATTTAAAACCCTAGACATTTCATATATTAAACATAAGATGACTCCTCAAAGGTTGAAAGAAGCAAGAAAACTAGACAGGGTGGTGAGTTCCTTGGGTTTTCTTCTTGCCTCATGTAGCCCAGACTTGCAACTAAAGGACCCAGAAACACCAACAGGCACTGACAAAAAAAAGCCCCCAGTGAAAGGCTCCTCTCAGCCAAAGAACAAGAAAAGGGGTGGCCTAGCAAGACAGAAAACATGCAGGCTGCCTTAATCCAGCCAAATACCACTTCACTCCCACTCACGCCAGGAAAGGCCAAGTGAGGAGCCTTCACTTCTACCCTGGCCAGGCTCTAACCAGGAGTCTCAACATCCCCATCCAAGAAATATCACAGAATTAGAGAGCCCTTGGAGCCCTACAGAATGTGTAACAGTATCTACGTTCAATGTCTTGATTTCATAACTGCATTGTGGTTATGTAAGAAAACGCCTTTATTCTTAGAAAATAAATATGAAATTATCTAAGACTGAAGGGATTTTATATGCACACACATGCACACACACACACACTTAAAACGTACTTTCAAATGGTTCAGAAAAAAAGAGAATAGTACAGCAAATGTGGCAAAATGATAAAGAAAAGAACCTTTTAAGGTTAACAGATATATTCACTACCTTTCCTGTGATTGTGTCACAAGTAGTTTGCCTATGTCAAAATTCCATCAAATACCACACTTGAAACATTTGCATGAATCTACAATTATCTCAAAACAAAGTTTAATGAAAACAAAATCTACTTGGCACTGAAATCCAGAATAATATGAGTACATCTGCCAGCAGTTTTATATTTTGATGTCACCCAGAATGCCATAAAGTGATGACACCTAATGTTTGTAATGATTATATCATGTATTTCTTCCTTTGGAGTTACCAAATCATTGTATGGGCTTTACAATGTATTCTTTGCGTTTACTAGACACACAATTGCTCACACCATAGGACAAAATCAGTATGCAGAAACCACCTTGTAATAGCCTTTTTAATTTGTTATTCATGTTTCTTAAATATACTAACTAAATATTGTTGCTTTGGTAAGGGTTACCAGAACTTAAAGAGATGGGCCCTCTGTAAGTAAGTTTGATTAGCTTTTTAAAATTAGCATTCTTTGAAAACTATTTTATGAAGAAAAAATTAAGGGCTCCCATCTTCCATTTGACCATCAGTTCTACAATTTAAAATTTTTTTAAATTTTTTCTTTTTTACCTCCAGAGGAAGTTCCCTTGAATCCTCTTAGCCAAAAACAAAATATGACTATCAAACAAAAGACATAAACACTTTTAGATATGATTAATTGCCAACGTAATATCCAACACAGCATATCACACCACTTTTTAAAAACCAGTTCTGCCAGGCACAGTGGCTCACACTTGTAATCTCAGCACTTTGGGAGGCTGAGGTGGGAGGATCCCTTGAGCCTAGGAGTTCGAGACCAGCCTGGGCAACATGGCAAAACCCTAACTCTACTAAAAATACAAAAAATTAGCTGGGTGTGGTGGTGTGAGCCTGTAGTCCCAGCTACTCAGGCGACTGAGGCAGAGAAAAACCTGAGCCCAGAAAGTTGAGGCTGTAGTGAGCCACAATGGCACCACTGCACTCCAGCCTGAGCAATGGGACCTGGGTGACAGGAATGACATGCTGTCTCAAAAATAAATAAACAAATATAAAAACCAGTTTTTATATTACCTATATAAACTATTGGAACTTAAGAAAAATTAGGATAGAAATTTTGGCTTGAATCAAATAAGGACCAATACTAATATGTAGAACCTTCATAGAAAGTGTAGGTTAACACCATAGTGCTTGTTACTTCCCATTTTAAACAGCAAAAGTGAGAAAGGATCTATCACAGATACTTTTGGAATAATCTTTTTAAAATAAGATAATAGGCAGGCGTGGTGGCTGACACCTGTAATCCTACCAATCTGGGAGGCCAAGGTGGGAGGACTGCTTCAGCCCAGGAGTTCAAGACCAGCCTGGACAACATAGTCAGGCCCTGTCTCTATTTTAAAAAAAAAAAAATTAAAAACTAGCCAGGTGTGGTGGCACGTGCCAAGTTTCCACTAAGTATGGGCACTAGTTAATGTATTCTTAATATGGTTGAGCTTCACAAGGCCCATGATCTCCTGAAAACTGTGTTGCAAAATGTTGTAAATACGTACACTGTTCTGGGGACCTAGTCCAGAGATTTCATTAAATTCTCAAAGATGTTCGAGACTCAAAATAAAGATTAAGAAACAACAGGCCAGAAATTAACAAGGTCATGAGACAATTCCTTCTTTAAGGTATTGTTCCATTTAAACACACCTATCTTTCCTTGGCAAACAATCATTACTTCTAGTTTAGGTATTTCCCCCCAAGTCTACTTCCTAATGCTACCTCTTTTGAATGTTTTCCTTTGGTTAAAGGGCTTTACCTTTATTTCTAACCCTCAACTGCTTTCACAGAAACCTCAATCCCTTTTTCTACTAAGGGCTAGGCCAGAGATCCAATTCCTAGGCTACCCCACCCCACTGTGATTCTTTCAAGTCAGGAACCAACTGACAAGAAAACATTCCAGCTCCAACACATTCCAACTGTCTTACTAAAGGGGCTAGTCCACTAAGAAAGACTTCTGTGGGGTTTTGTTGTTTGTTGTGGTGCGATCTCGGCTCACTGCAACCTGCTTCCTGGGTTCAAGCGATTCTCTGCCTCAGCCTCCCTAGTAGCTGGGATTACAGGCACCCACCGCCACGCCTGGCTAATTTTTGTATTTTTAGTAAAGACAGGGTTTCACTTGTCCAGTCCAGGCTGGTCTGGAACTCCTGACCTCAAGTGATTTACCTGCCTCAGCCTCCCAAAATGCTGGGATTACAGGCATGAGCCACCACACCCAGCCAACGGCTGACCAAAAAAAAAAAAAAAAAAAAAAAAAAAAAAAAAAAATGTAGACAGGGTCTCAATATGTTGTCCAAGCTTGTCTGGAACTCCTGGCCTCAAGCCATCTTCCCACTTCAGCTTCTGAAAGTGCTGGGATTCTAGGCGTGAGCCTTTTGATGTTGTTTTTTCTTTAAACAGTTGTTTAAGCTAATCTGGTTCAAGTCCTCAGGAGAAAATCTTGGGTCAAGAATATATTGCCCCTTATGGTCATGTCCAAATTTTTCTCAAGTCATCCCTCATCTTTTAGTCTGAAGAAGCTCTAATGACATACTTCTACTGCAGACTTACCAAAGTGGAAATTCTTTTAGTCACTGTGAGAAAATGAGAGACTCTAAACCTGTGTTTTTAACCATTTTAAAAACCTTTATCATATTTACTTTTATCTTCTGAAACTTTCATCAACCCAGAATAGCACGTACAACCTACTTTCTGAAATGTTTATTATGAGTTAGAGGTTTAAATTTTTTTGAACTATACAGTCTCTTACTCTAACACTGAATTCTGATTTATACCTCCCTCTCATTTCTGATTGAGATCATGGCTCTAAACATACAGAATGTAAATATGGACTTTTGTGGCAAGGCCCTTTCAAAAGGTTCAAAATAGTAGTCTATATGCAAAAGAAAAAGTATAACAGAAAAGGGGTTTGCAGTCACTGCTGTGTCATTAGAGAAACAATAAAATTGGAACGCAGGAGGCCCAGGAGTTTCTATTTAAAAACAGTCATGGTTGGGCACGGTGGCTCATGCTTGCCATCCCAGCACTTTGGGAGGCTGAGGCAGGCAGATCATGAGGTCAGGAGTTTGAGACCAGCCTGGCCAACAGAGTGAAATCCCATCTCTACTAAAAATACAAAAATTAGCTGAGGAGGCTGAGGCAGGTGAATTGCTTGAACCCAGGAGGTGGAGGCTGCAGTGAGCCGAGATTGCACCACTGCACTCCAGCCTGGGTGACAGAGCTAGACTCCATCTCAAAACATAAATAAACAAACAAACAAATAAATAAAAAGTCATGTGATAATCAAAATACACAGAAGTATACTGAAAATATCTGGATCACATTATGAACATCAACTATATTGCAGGAATACTTGCAGACAATATAGATTTGGCTTGATTTATATAGAACATATGCTTTCTGGATAAGTGGCTGATAAAAGCAGGTCTCAATTTCCTGCCAAAACAGTGGGGTATATTATATTTTTAGGTTCTGACTCCCAGTCATTTGAACTTTCAGGATCTGTTTGGAGACAACAAGCAGCAGTCTAATGAACTATATTCGTTGGACTTTTTACTCAGGGATGAGTAAAAAATGTCATTTGGTCCACTAACCATTTGTCCATTGAGAAACATGACTACACATGACATGAAATTTAAAGAAAACAATTCACTGGGGCTCTCAATGTATTCTGGATTGCCTCTGTATTATTTTAAAATCTTTGCCACATTAGAATTAGCACCATATCCACACTCCCCTCATTTTTCTTGCTTCCATTTAGTTCTATACTTTTGAAACTGCCCACTTAAAAGGTTTACTCTTGTCCTTGCTTCTTCATGCCAGCTGGCTCCTACTCAGCAGTATCCTGGGTTGGTATGTTGGCTACCACCCTTGAAAGATATTCTAAAAGGTCACTATTTTCATTTATGCTAATTACCTGGGGAGAGACAGATGAATGGAAACGCAACTTTGACAGTGCATAAACATGTTTCCAAGACCTATGCTCTAAAATATTATATAATCGGGTTTTCCCAAGTAATGTGTACTCTATGGTTGGAGGAAAGGGGAACAAAAGAAATGTGAAGGTGAGAGAAGGGAATAGAGGAAACTAGGAAGCTCTGATGGTCCGAAGCAGAAGGAAAGGCATTCTGAAAAACAGTTCAGAGGAGCTTCAGACTGCATAACCTCAATATGCAACAATGGAAATACAGGGAAATGGTGAAGTCCTGGGTACAGAAATTATGAAACTAAAATAAAGGCTGTTCAAGGTAGAAACTGGGAAAAGACTTATTATGTGCTGCAGATGGAGGTCAAGATCCAAATGGTCAGGTCTTAAGAATATATCAGACTAGCTTAATCTGAGCTGTTCTTATTCAAGGGCTTTGGTGTAAGATGACAAGGCATGGTCTCACTTTTCCTAGCCACATGGAAAGGAATACCATCAAACTCAAAGCAAAAAAGGAATTGGGATCCAGTAAGCTCAAAAGAGGCACTGACAAAAAATGGCTGAGGGTTCAGAGTTGGCTCAGGTTCCAAGAGAAACTAGAGTGCCACCATGCACCAAGGCAAGAAGACCAGGTGAGTAGACTAGCCAATTTAATAAGGGTAATGTTTAACCCCTGGTACATGGGTAATGAGGTATCGAATTATTTGAAAAACCAGCTGACTACTGGCGAGGCAAGCTCCTTAACATAAGGTCAGATTAAACTCTCTAATTTAGAGCACAGAGATTCAAATTTGTAAAACCTCTGTATCCATAGCTGGGCAGGGCAAGGGTAGGCAAAGAATGACAATTTTAAGCAAGATGATGCTAGAGTTCAAATCAGTTCAGCATCTACCAAATCCTGACAAGTAAGTGCCCAGCACTGTACCAAGTGCTGCCTTTGAAGAGTTTACATAGCTAGAATGGCCTGTCCATTACTGGGGTTGCTCTTAGAATTCGACATGTTAATGACTGTAAAATGCTTGGTATTGAAACAGGAAAGGTTCTCTTGTTCCCCCTTGCTTCTTCAGTGCCCCGTTGCTCAAACCTCTAGGGGAGTATATAGACGGGCAGGCTGTGGGGCTCCGACCCCATGACAGTGTCTAGGGGTGAGAGTTTACAGCTCCTGAAGCCCCAGTGGGCATGTGTTATAGGGTGCTCTTTTAGTTTGCCGTCTATAGGCGACTTGTGTTAATCAGCTCAATCAGACCCTCTACCTTGTTGCAAGGACAGAGGGCTTTCTGTATCCCGGGTTCTTGCTTTGGTGTACCAGAAGAATTGGATCATACGTGGACTTGGACAATGAGTGCAAAGTTTTATTGAGTGGAAGGATTTTTCCACCAATGTGGGAGCCAGAAGGGAGATGGTTTAGCCCTAGAGTTCGGCTGCTCAGTGGCCTCGGCTCTCCTCCGACTGCCCCAGCCAAACTCCGCCTTGTCCCACCCGTCAATGGCCTGCCAGGGTGCTGACGTCTGTCGGTGTGCTCTTCTGCCGGCTTGCTCCCTTGACGTCCTCCCACCATCCAGCTGCTTGTATCTTCTTCAGCTGGTGTTCGTCTCTTGACATCTGGCTGCCTGTATGTCTGCCCGCTAGGGTCTCGGGTTTTTATAGGCCCAGGATGGGGGGCATGGCAGGCCAGGATGGTCTTGAAAAATGCAACACTTGGGCATGAAAGCTGGAGTGCCTCTACTCACCTAGGTCCATAGGAGTGGAGCCCTAGCCAGGGGTCACCTTTCTCTATCCAGCACTTCCCTGACCCCCTCCCGTAGCAGTATTAAGCCTGGCAAATAGTCGGCATTCAAAAATCAGTAGCTGATAATCAGCAACTTTATAATTATCACCACCATTATCTCAATACCCATTACCACACTGCAGAGATTAGAGAGTTTTAATTCTAAAAGAAACAGCTTTAAACTGCAAAATTTGTTACTGAATTGGTTGTTTCTTTTTTCTTTTTTTTGAGACACAGTCTTGCTGTCACCTAGTGCAGTGGCATGATCTCGGCTCACTGCAACCTTCGCCTCCCCAGTTCAAGCAATTCTCATGCCTTGGCCTCCCATGTATCTGGGATTACAGGTGTGTACCACCACGCCCAGCTGATTTTTGCATTTTTTGTAGAAACGGGGTCTCGTCATGTTGGCCAGGCTGGTCTCGAGCTCCTGACTTCAAGCAATCCACCCACCTCCCAAAGTGCTGAGATTACAGGCCACCACACCCGACCCTGAATGGGTTGTTTCTTAAGACTATGCCCAGCAGGCTAAGGATTTATACTAATGCTAGGGCAAGACTTCACCCCACTCATAGCGTAGTTCCTACAATAGTACTAGTGACAATGTTTCTGACAAACTTTCTCAATCAGTCATGCAAATATTAGTATCAACACAGTCTCCCATGCATGTCACCCCAATTTTTTACATCCTGTGAGTCAACTCTGTAGTTTGTTGTTGATATTCACAAAAGGAGAAAAGCCACTGCCACTGAGACTGCAGAACAACTAGATAAAAGTCTCACTTTGTTGCCTAGGTTGGAGTACAGTGGCAGGATCTTGGCTCACCGCAACTTCTGCCTCCCTGGTTGAAATGGTTATCATGCCTCAGTCTCTCATGTAGCTGGGATTACGGACAGGTGTCACCACGCCCAGCTAATTTTTTTTGTTATTTTTAGTAGAAGCAAGGTTTCTCCATATTACCCAGGTTGGTCTCGAACTCCTGGCCTCAAGTGCTCCACCCACCTCCCAGAGTGCTGGGATTACAAGAGTGAGCCATGGCGCCCGGCCATAACTACTTCCAAATGTCACAGATCAAAAGGGAGAAATTGGAAGGGATAGCACAAGGTCTTTCTTTCCCTGAAGAGTAAAAAATACACGACTGTCATCTCATCAATTCATACTTATTAACTGCCCATATGATGAATTAGATGCTTTAGTAAAGGCATACATGAAAAGCAGTATCACTAGTCTCCTCACAATTCTAAGAAATAATGCTGTGAGGAAACCTGCCTAGCGAAAGGCAGTAGACTACAGGAAAAGAAATCAAACACGCAACAAAGGTAAGGCATGTACAAGGCAATGTAAAAGGTACAAAGCAATTTACCTAGAGTAAGTTTAATTTAAAGGCTTTCAGTATGTTGAGCGGAAAAAAAAAATTCCGTCTACCTCCTAAACTTTTAAAGAGCTAATAAATCTAGTAAACTTACAAGTTGTCAAAAACATGTCCAATTCAGGAAAGGGGTGGATGGAGGCAGAAAACAACCTAAGACATAAAAAACATAAAGGAACAGAATGAAAGAAAAAGAAGGATGGTCAAAAACAGAAAGGAAATTTGACATAACAATCTTAAATATCTTAGGGAGGGAAGAAAATCTTAGGGAGAGAGGAAAATAAGGGAATGAAATGAACATGGAAGTAATAGTGATTAAGCTGGAATGCATCATAGCTATTAATGGGTTCAACATCTCTGTTTTACTGATAAATGAACTGTGGCCTAATGAGGTTAAGTAATTTCCTTGAGTTTGCACAGCTACATAGTAGCAAGTCTACCAAGGTGATTAACACACAGTAAATACTCAAATTATTTTATGAATTAAAAAGACAAGTGTTATGGACCAAGTGTTTGTGTCCCCCCAACTCCAAGTTCCTATGTTGAGGCCCTAACTCACCTCTTTGCACCCTGCCCACCCCTGTACCTGTATTAGGAGATGGAGCTTCTAAGGAAATAATTAATGTTAAGTAAGGTGGGGGTGATAGGGGAGTGGCACTGCTCCAATAGGATCATTGTCCTTAAAAGAGACACCAGAGAGCTTGCTCCCCTCCCCACTCCTGTCCCTATGCACAAAGAAGAGGTTGTGTGAGCACAAGACTAGATGGCAGTCACCTACAAGCCACAAGAGGAGGCTTCAGAATGAAATCTGCCTTGCTGGCTCCTTGGTCTTGGACTTCCAAGATCAATTTGCTGTTGGTTAAGCCACTCAGACTGTGGTAATTTGTGATAGCAGCCCTAGCAGACTAAGATAATGAGCATTAAAGTCTTCCGGCATTCAAAAGGAAAAGAAACAGAAAAGTAAAGGAAAGAGGGAGTGAGGTAATATTTATATTTTAGGTTTATTAAATAGTTAAACCTAAAATATATTACTTTTGTTTAATGGTGATTTGTACTCACTCACTCCCTCTTTACTTTTCTATTAGAGAATGAAAAGGGGGGCCACTGAGCCTCTGGCTAGGTTTAGTTTATGCAAAATTCCAGGTTACATTTCTAAAGCTTCCCTAAAGGTACCTACAGGTAGTAGAAACTCAAACTTTCATTCAATGAATGAGCGGTCAGAATCGATTCTGTACTTACAAAAGTAACATATCCTTTACCCACTCCCCAAACTATGCACCATCAACTGCGAATTAATAAATGCTCACAAGGGTGTGTGTGTGTGTGTGTGTGTGTGTGTGTGTGTGTGTGTGTGTGTGTGTGTGTGTGTGTCTTGTAGCCCATATGGTAAATATACAGACTACCCAGACTACCACACAAGAATCTGGACAAGTCCCGACTACCCTTTTCCAACCTGCCTATTCTCCTAGCGCCTCCTTATCCCCCTAGGAGTTTAGCCATCACATATTAAACTTTACATTTTATTGGGAAAACAAAGAAAACATTTTAACTAACAAATTTTAAGAAAGCTACATTTTGTTTTGTGAAATAGTAAAAAAATAAATAAATAAATAAAGCTTTATTGTCCAATTCTAATACAAATTTTGAAAGCTGTAGTTAAAATTTAGTTTACTTCTTAAGTCAAAGAGGTAAATCTTAAGAATTCAAAGGAAAATGAGAGTTACTGAAAAAATGCAAATCACCGATAAACAAAGGTAGAAATCTGATACTTTTAATTGTGTCTTATAGTGCTGTTCATTACCCAAATTGCTGGCAAATAGCATGGCCTTAATAACTGATGAATGAACGGGCTAAATATGTACTAGAAAAAGAAATGTGAACCCAGAACTTATAAATATGGTGGGGGGTACTTTTAAGTAGCATTTTTAAAATTTTTTTATTTTTTTTGAGATGGAGTCTTGCTCTGTCACCCAGGCTAGAGTGCAGTAGCACGATCTCGGCTCTCTGCAACCTCCACCTCCCAGGATCAAGGTATTCTCCTGCCTCAGCCTCCCAAGTAACTGAGATTACATTAAGTAGCATTTTAGTGGTCTTTATTTCTGAAATGTGCTCGGAAAAAAAGACTATACCGAGAAAAGGGAGCAAAAAGAGTACTGTTTTCCTTGTAACGTTTATTAATATATAATAGGCAGTACCACAGCTCATCTTACAGATGAAAGACCCTTAAAGCCTCAAAACAAAACTCCTTTAAACGGATGCCTAAATGGGTTCACTTCCTCTGCTCTGAAAAAGGGTATTGTAGTCATTCTATAATCTATCTAAAATTTACAAAATAAGTCATATTCTAAAAATGCATTTTTATTTCAGTTTTTTAGAACTCTGATCACATTCTCCCATTAAAAGAAACACACACACACACACACACACACACACACACACACACAGATTTATAAATGATGGCTGTGTTTCTAGACCAGATATCACAAGAACCTAGTAATCATGGGGAAAACGTTTGAGCACACTGTACCAGTAATGTACCTGAACTACTATCCATCTGAAATAAAAATAAACAAAAAACAAGATAGCTAAAATAGCAGAAAATTACAAATAATGCCAATGTAATTAAATAAGAGATACTTTTCCCCCAGATCACCTTGCACGTTGGTTGGTAGAAGACAAATTTAATCACTGACTAAGAAAGTAGAGACTTCTGTAGATTTAGAGGAAGGAGTAGGAGTACTTTCAAGGGTTTTAGTCACTGGTGCAACTTTTTAAAAAATAATTTCAATTTTATTTCAACACCTACTGCATTCCCATTTTCCCTGATACAAATGTAATTCTAGTCAATCAACCATAAATTAGGTAATTTTTTATTTGATAATGAAACAAAGACATGAAGATAAGGAAAAAGAAACAGCAAGATTTAGAACAGAATAGGGAAGCAAAAAGTAATGCTTAATAAGTACTTGCTAAAAGGACAGGAAGGGAGAAAGGAAGAGAAAAAAAAGAGGGGAAAATGTGGATATATAAAAGAATGCTATTAGTGTAAGTAAAGATTAAACAGTAGAAGAGAGAACTGGAGGTGAAGGGTAGAAAGGCAGACCTAACATACCCATGATATTTTTAAAGGAGAAAGAGACTTGGTGATAAGGAGGAGACCCTGAATCAGTTCTCAGTATTGCCACTCAGGAGTACAACAGACTCAGAACTGCTGGGATGGGTCTGAAACGGTAACAATCATAACTAACATATACTGAACATTTACTATGCACCAAGAACTGTTCTGAGAGCGTTACATGGCTCAAAACAACCCTCTGTGATAGATATTATGTTATTCTCATTTTACAGATGAGAAAGCATGGTAACTTATCCAATGTCATTCAGACAGAATGCATCAGAACCAGATTTGGACCCAGTTAATTTGGTTCCAAAGCTTGTGCCATTAAAGCACTACTGCCTCAATAGTACAAAGCACTGGTCCCTGCGATGTGAGAGAGAATAGCTGATGTCAGCTAGAGTTCTACCACTATAAATTCTATAGTTACTAAGTATTCCGTTACTGAAAAAAATCACAGGTAAAAAAACCTCTAGAATTTGACAAATATTTATTGAACACCATTCATTATTCTAGACACTGAAGATAATAGCAGCGAATACACCAGACAAAAAACTCTAAAAGAGGAGACAGGTGGGAAAAAAAGTTTTTATTTTACATACATATACATACTACTACTACTACTACTACACACACACACACACACACACACACACACACACACACACGGAGTTTGTTTTGTTTTTAAAGATACAGGGTCTCAAGCCAGGCGCAGTGGCTCACTCCTCTAATCCCAGCACTGTGGGAGGCCGAGGTTGGTGGATCCCCTAAGGTCAAGAGTTCAAGACCAGCCTGGCGAACACGGTGAAACCCTGTCTCTACTAAAAATACAAAAAATTAGCCGAGCATGGTGGTATGGACCTTTAAACCCAGCTACTCAGGAGGCTGAGGCTGGAGAATCACTTGAACCCAGGAGGCGATAGCTGCAGTGAGCCGAGATCATGTCATTGCACTCCAGCCTGGGTGACAAGAGTGAAACTCCATCTAAATAAATAATAAAATAAAATAAAGATACAGGGTCTCGCTCTGTCACCCAGGATGGAGTGCAGTCTGCACAATTAGAGCTCACTGCAGCTTTGACCTCCTGGGCTCAAGCAATCCTCTTGTCTCAACCTCCAAGTAGCCAGGACTACAGGTGCATGCCATCTCCCAAGCAGCTAGGACTACAGGTGTGTCCCACCAACCCTGGCTAATTTTTAAACTTGCTTTTGTAGAGATAGGGTACCACTATGTTGCCCATGCTGGTCTTGAACTCCTGGCCTCAAGGAGTTCCTCCCACCTTGGCCTCCCAAAGTCTTGGGATTATAGGGATAAACCACCATGCATGGCCTGTTTTTTTATTTTTTATTTATATTGTCACCCAGGCTGGAGTGCAGAGGCACGATCTCAGCTCACTGCAAGCTCCGCCTCCCAGGTTCACATCATTCTCCTGCCTCAGCCTCCAGAGTGGCTGGGACTACAGGCGCCCGCCACCACACCCGGCTAATTTTTTGTATTTTTAGTAGAGATGGGGTTTCACCATGTTAGCCAGGATGGTCTCAATCTCCTGACCTCGTGATCCACCCGCCTTGGCCTCCCAAAGTGCTGGGATTACAGGCATGAGCCACTGTGCCTGGCCGTATGGCCTGTTTTTATAATATTTAGAAGATAAATGCTATGAAAAATTTAAAGTAAAATGGCTTTCAAAAGGCCTTATTGAATAGGAAACATTTGAGCAAAAATTTGAAGGCCAGGAGGAAGACATGAGTATATCTGGAGAGAAGCATTACAGGCAGAAGAAACAAGTACAGTAAGCCCTCCATATTTGTGGGTTCTGCATCCCTGGATTCAACCAACCATGAATGGGAAATATTTGGGGCAGGAGAAATAATTCGTACTGGATATGTACAGTCTTTTTTTCCTTGTCACCGTAAATCGTGTTCCAGAAACAATATAACAGCTATTTACATAAAATTTACACTTCATTAGGTACTATAAACACTCCAGAGATTATTTAAAGTATACAGAAGAATATGTGTAGGTTATATGCAAATGCCACACTATTTTATATCAGGGACTTGAGCATCTGCGGATTTGGGTATCTTTAAGAGGCTCTGGAACCAACCCCCTCATGAATACCATGGAACAGCTGTACAAAGTGCCTGGCAAATTTGAGGAATGGCCAAAAGGCCTAAGTAGCTGTGAGAAATGAGAACAGGAGGAGATGAAAGTCAAACAAGTACCTAGGAGCAGGCTTGACTGGAGCCTTGTGGGGACTCTAGCTTTTCTTCTGAGCGAAACACATCAGTGGATTTTGTGCATGATCAGATTTATATTTTCAAAGGATTATGTCAGATGTTGTGATTAGAATAAATTCTTCAGTGTCAATAGTGGAGATAGCGAGACCAGGTAGCAGACTATTACAAAAACCTGGGCAAGAGAAGATGGAATACCGAACCAGGATAGAAGTGGCAGAGCTAGTAGGATGGGCACGGCAGCTCACGCCTATAATCCCAGCACTTTGAGAGGCCAAGGTCGGTGGATCACTTGAGGCCAGGAATTCGAGACCAGCATGGCCAACATGGCGAAACCCTGTCTCTACTAAAAATACAAAAATTAGCTAGGCATGGTGGCGCATACCTGTAATCCCAGCTACTCAGGTAGCCGACTCACAAGAATCGCTTGAACCTGAGAGGCGGAGGTTGCAGTGAGCCAGATCATGCCACGGCACTGCAGCCTGGGCGACAGAGCGAGACTGAGGAAAAAAAAAAAAGGAAGAAGAGCTAGTATGGATTGAATTTAGGTTATTTTTGAAAGGCAGAACCTAAAGGATTTGCTAATTAACAGGACCGCAGTGAGGGAGAAAGAGGAGTCCAGGATGACTAAGGTTTTTTTTAGCTCAAGTAACAGAAAGATGTCATTATCTGAGAAGAAGAAAACTGTGGGTTTAGCAAGTCTGAGGGCAGAGGAAGGCAAGTAAAGGCCAGGAGCTCAGCTTTGGACATGTCAAGTTTGAGGTAACTATTATATTACAGATGGAAATGTCAAGTAGGCAGTTAGATATGAGCTTCTAGAGAGAGTTCTAGCTAGAGGTATACATTTGAGAGCCAAGAACATACAGACAGAATTTAACACCCAGTGTATCATCAGAGTCCACTGGGCCCAACTTTTCTTTTCAAGCAGTTCAGTTCTACCTGTAAGAATTTATACTTTATGATTTTTCTTTCTTAGAGGTATTCCAAAAAGAAAACAGAAAAACGAAATTGTTACTTTAAAAATAAACTATTTTATCTTGTAATAATACATGTATTCCTTGGACCCTTTTATAAACCTAAGATTCACTGTGAAATTTTAGAAGATCTTTATTTTTCCTACATCTTGAAACATTCTGACTTTTCAGCAACTTTTACTTTTTAACTATTCCCAGCCATGGAAGGAAGGGAGGGAGGGAGGGAAGGAAGAAAGGAGGGATAGGCAAAAAGGACAAAAACCATGAGGTATTATAAAAGGGATTAAAAGATATAGACAGCATTCAAATGTGATTGATGGTTACTGTAGGGGTAATATCTAATTAGTTGCATGAAACTTTGACAGCTGGGCATGGTGGCTCACGCCTGTAATCCCAGCACTTTGGGAGGCTGAGGTGGGCGGATCACGAGGTCAGGAGATGGAGACCATCCTGGCTAACATGGTGAAACCCCGTCTCTACTAAAAATACAAAAATATTAGCTGGGCGTGGTGGCGGGCGCCTGTAGTCCAGCCACTCTGGAGGCTGAGGCAGGAGAATGGCGTGAACCTGGGAGGCGGAGCTTGCAGTGAGCCGACGATCGCGCCACTGCACTCCAGCTTGGCAACAGAGTGAGACTCCGTCTCGGGTGGCAGGGAGGAGGGGGAAGAACCTTTGGTCAGGCATGGTGGCTCACGCCTATAATCTCAGCACTTTGGGAGGCTGAGGTGGGAAGATCACTTGAGATCATGCATTCAAGACCAGCCTGTGGCAACACAGCCACAGACTTGTCTCTACAAAAAAATAAATAAAAATACAAAAATGGTGGCACACATCTGTAGTCCCACCCAGCTACTCGAGGGGCTAAGGAAGGAGGATAGCTTGAATCCAGGAGATTGAGACTGCACTGAGCTGTGATCGCACCACTGCACTCCAGCCTGGGCAACAGAATGAGACTCTGTCTCCAAAAAAAAAAAAAGGAAGAAATTTTTTTTTAATGTCTAATGCAGTTGTTTTTTCACTATCCCTTTATTCTTATTTCTTAATTATAAGAAAACTTAGGGCCGGGCACAGTGGCTCACACCTATAATCCCAGCACTTTGGGAGGCCGAGGCGGGTGGATCATGAGGTCAGGAGTTCGAGACCTGCCTGGCCAATATGGTGAAACCCTGTCTCTAATAAAAATATAAAAATTAGCCGGGTGTAGTGGCATGGACCTGTAGTCCCAGCTACTTGGGAGGCTGAGGCAGGAGAAATGCTTGAACCCGGGAGGCAGAGGTTGCAGTGAGCCAAGATCACGCCACTGCACTCCAGCCTGGACAACAGAGTGAGACCCTGTCTCAAAAGAAAAAAAGAAAAGAAAGAAAAGAAAAAAGAAAAAAAAAAGAAATGAAAAGAAAAGAAAACTTAATATATGTTAAAGGAAAAAAACATTTTACCCGGCTGGTAAAACTTTCCTGGTTAGCTGAGAACTAAAGCCATGAGAGTGGATGAAAGAGAATCAAAAAAAGAGGTGAAAGGACTTGGCTCAAAATATTACAACTTTAAAACTGAGTACAAACTTCCAAAGAGGTGGGAAGAAAATCAGGAAAGTATGATGTCCTGCAAGTCAAGTATCCAAGAAAGTGAATTAGAGAACGAAGTGATCAGTGATAGAATATTCTACAGATAGGTCAAGTAAGATGAGGGCTGAGACCAGACCACTAGATTTAGCAGCATGCAAGTTACTGGCAACTTGGACTAGAGCCCTTTCAGTGGTGTGGTTGCAATAAAAACCTGGCTGCGTGGGTTTAAGAGGAGAACTGATATAATCAGATATAATCAAATATAAACAACGCTACTGAGTTTTGCTTTAAAGGAAAAGAAATTCAGCAGTTGCTGGCAAAGTGAGGTCAAGAGTATTATTTTTAAATAAGTGGAAGAACAGCTTAACTGTATGCTGACGGGACTAATCCAATAAAGACAGAAAACTTGATGATCCCAGAGAGAGGGAAGAGAATTGCTGGATCCATGTCCTAAACAGACTAGCAGAGATAGGACCTAGTATACAACTGGAAGGTTCACCTTATATAGGAATGCAAATGCTTCATGAGTGAGGGGACAGTTTATTCATACTGATGAGAGAAAGTGGGTAAATACGGGGGTGGGAAATCCTCTCCTGATTGCTTCAGTTTTGCACATATCATCTGGTACTTATGACTTGTAAGCAAAAGCCAAAAGAAGCAATTTAACAACAGCATGGCATTCTGGGAGCCTAGATGGCAGAGTATTAGGGCTGCTTTCTCACTTGCCCTCTGGGTTTCTGTTCTCTAAAATCCTTGCAATCACTAAATGGCATAACTTTTTCTACAAAAGAAAGGCAGGAAATTGGGGGGCACAAAAGAGTCACTGATCCATACTGACTCTGAAATCTAGCAGGGCAAACACTGAAAGTTCCTTGATTAGGTCTCAACACTGGGAAAAGAATTCTCCATGACTTTTGCCTTCATCTCTAGGCTCCTGCTTCCAACCTCTGAGTCATCTTTCCCTTTTGATGAAAGGTGGCATGTGTTAGCTCCTGAGCACTTTCTCAGCCTGCTTCCTGCCAGCAGAATGCTAGGGGTGTCCGACAGCCTCTTTTCATTTTGTACTGTTTCTTTTCCTGTTCAGTCCTAGCTACAGTGGATTTCCTGCATATCTCACCACAATAGACAAAAGCTATACCCATAGATCTCTCCAAGAGGAACTCTTCTACCTCTACCTTGGGCTCCTGCTAAAAAGGCTAGAAGCCCTATTGTTTGACGGAGAGGCCTTGAGTGTGACTGAAGAGGATGCTAAGGCACTACCTTCTCAGGTCTTAACAGCAGGCTTTAAAGGCACAGTCTTGGCTTTATCTTTAGACCGCCATTCTCCCCGGAGTGGCTCTTGAATTGATCTTTGCCGTGTCTCAATTTCATCACCCTCTGCCAACCAGAAAGGCTGAGAATTTTCAAAATCATCAAGTTCTGGCTCCTTTTTTAACAGTGCTTCCCTCAATTTATTTATTTCCCCTCATACTTTAAGCAGCAAGAAGGAACCAGAGGGGATCTGCAATGTTTTGTTTAGAAGTTTACTTAGCTAGATCTCTCAGTTCATGAAACACACTTTCTGCTTTCCACAACTATAAATGATAGTGTTGCTAAACTTTCTACCACTACATAACAAGGATCCCCTTTCTTCCAGTTTCTTTCCTTTAAGACCTCGTGACAATCGCCTCAAAGTCCCATTTTTATAATGTGTTCAAGGTATTCTAATCTTATACTAACACTCTCCTTAAAAGTCCACTGCCCAGTTTCAAAGTCACTCCCAGTTTAGATTTTCACCAAAAAGCACCCCACTATTGGTACCAAAATCTGTAGTTATCTCTTTTTTTTTTTTTTTTTTTTTTTTTGTGATACAGGGTCTCGCTCTCTTGCTCAAGTTCTTGCTCTCAGCTCATTGCAGCTTACACCTCCCAGGCTCAGGTGATCCTCCCACCTCAGCCTCCCAAGTAGCTGGACTACAGGCACGCACCACCTTGCCCAGCTAATTTTTGTATTTTTAGTAGAGATGGGGTTTTGCTATGTTGCCCAGGCTGGTCTCAAACTCCTGGGCTCAAGCGATCCGCCTGCCTCGGCCTCACAATGTGCTGGGATTACAGATGTGAGCCACCACACCCGGCCTAGTTATCTATTTCTATGTAACAATTCATTTTCAATCACAGTAGCTTAAAACAGCATTTATTATCTCAGTTTATGTGGATCAGAAATCCAGCTGGGTAAGCTAAGTGCTTCTGGTTCAGGGACTCTCACAAGGCTGCAGTCAAGGTGTTGGCTGGGGCTGCAATCATTAAAGCTTGACTATCAAGGATCCACCACCAAACTCACTCACCTGGCTGCTGGCAGGTCACTAGCTGTTAGGCCTAGACATCACTGGCTCTTGGGCCTTCCCACAAGGCTACTTAACAGTGTAGGGGCTCTGAGAGAAAGGTAGAGAGGGCAAGCACCCAAGATAAAAGCCACAGTCTCTTTGTAACCAAATCTTAGAAGTGACATCTCATCAATTTTCCATATTCTATGCATTCAAAGTGAGTCACTAGGTCCAGCCTATAAGGGGAAGATAATACACAAGGGTATGAATATCAGGAGGTGGGGATCACTAGGGACCATCTTAGATGCTGCCTATCACAGACTAGCTGAATGTATTACAACATATTGGTTAAGAGTACTGACTCTGAAGCAAGACTGCGCATTTGAATCTTCCTTCCCCGTTGTAAGATGAAACAAGATAATAGTAATGAAAGCATCAGACCCAGTGCCTCCTATCATAGGAGGCACTTGGGAATTTGTTTTCTTATCTCTTCCAATCCCAACTGCCTTTAACAATCGAAAATTTCTCCAGTTTGAATATTATCTGCAAACATCCAATATTAGAGCAACTTGTTGAGCAACATGCAAAAATGGTTTTGATTTTCAATGAATCCAAGAAACTTATTTTTAATAACCTTAATTTAATAAAATTAAACACAAAAATAAAAATAAATATCTAAAATTACTTAAATATAGCAGAGGAGAACACAGACACAGCAACAACTGATCTTCCCAACACGTGCTCTGACCACCTACCCCTGCCCAGCCTTTGGCATCTACTGTACTGTTTAGTGAGACCTTCAGTCCCACCTTGCCAAAAAAACCATGATGTTTTTTACCTAACTGGCAATTTCAAGTACTGTACAAGAAGCAGAATAAATAAATCATTAAGAATATTTTATGTGAATGTCAATTTATCTAAGAAATAATACTTAACAATTCTACTGGGAAAAATCATGCCCATTTTACAGATGAGACACAAGAGCATAAAGATCATCTGTCTAATCATATGGCAGGCTAATGACTAGGCCAGGGACAGAAATGTAACTAGCGTATGATGAGAAACACAATGAAACCATAGTCAGTTTTCTGATTTTCATGGATACAAGAATCTTGCCAGTGATTAAAGTTCATCTCACACACTCAGGAAAAATAATTTGACAGTTATTTTAGGGAATGAAAGCTAGGTCGTTTCCCCGCATAAACAACATAAGCTTCTGACTCTTACCTCCCTCTTGATTTATTTAACCTCTGAATAGATGGTCTATATTTAAATAAGCAAGTAAAACACCGTACAAGTTAATACACAATGAAGACAGTACAGAGCCTATAGATTTGGGTTAAGTGAAACCCAAACCTAATTTTTTTTTTTTTTTTTTTTTTTTTTTTTTTGAGACAGAGTCTCACTCTGTTGCCCAGGCTGGAGTGCAGTGGCACGATCTGGGCTCACTGCAACCTCCACCTCCCGGGTCCACGCCATTCTCCTGCCTCAGCCTCCTGAGTAGCTGGAACTACAGGCACCCACCACCACATCCGGCTAATTTTTTGTATTTTTAGTAGAGACGGGGTTTCACCATGTTAGCCAGGATGGTCTCGATCTCCTGACCTCGTGATCCGCCCACCTCAGCCTCCCAAAGTGCTGGGATTACAGGCGTGAGCCACCGCGCCCGGCCCAAACACAATATTTTAGTTGAACACTTTGCTACCCAGACAGTTCATTATACCTAGAATATCCAATTAACTTTTCAACCAATATCTGTGGAATGTCTATTCTATGCTGGCCTTCAATTACAAGTAACATATGTTCTCTTATTTAATAATAGTGAAAGATGCTAAAAAAAAATGTGTGAAGAGGAGCACCAAGTTCTCACATTCAGAAAAACCTATTAATTCTAAACAGGAATGTAATGCTTTCAACTGGATTACAACTTTTAAAAGCAATATAGTCATGTGCTGCTTAATGCCAGGCACACATCCTGTGAAATGTGTTGTTAGGTGATTTCATAGTTGTGAGATCATCATAGAGTGTACTTACATAAACTCAGATGGCCTAGCCTACTACACACCTCGGCTATACGGTATGTACGACCTATTGCTCTTAGGCTACAAACATGTACAGCAGGTGACTACTGAATACTCTACTGTGGGTAATCGTAACACAATGGTATTTATGTACCTAAACACAGAGAAGGGACAGTAAAGATACAATTGTTATTTATACACTCTTATGAAACCACCGTAAGATTGAACTGCATTGACTGATGCCTTCAACTGCATTGACTGATGCATTGAACTGCACTGATGAATGATGCAGTTCATAGCTACCTGAAACGTCTTTATGTGGTACACGACTGTACAGTTTTCCAGAACCAAGAAGGAGAAAGGGGAGTTAGTGAAGTAAGACTACAACTCCTAAAATATATTTTTGTCGTTGTTGGGAAAAGGACCAGAGGAAATATATCTTGGGTGTTTAATCCTCCACCCTCCCTCTCCGTCTTGTCAATATGTGTGCTTTGACCACGCTGATTTTCTGCTCCTCCAAACGAACAATTTAAAATCTACTAAGTATTTACTTACTTGGTTCCAAATTTAGTCCTTAATTTATATATTTTACAACAACAAAATTCCATATTCTGATTTGAAACATGACCAGAAAGAGATAGTTGTTTAACATTAAATGTCATATTAAAACAAATAGTAAAGGCGGCTTTCCTAAATAACTGAAGCTTGCCATATTTTAGCATTCATGCGTAAGCCTTTCCTATCTACTTAAAATCTTTATTCTCATTGTCAAACCCTGACCTCAAGGCCCTTTTACCTCATACCTGAACAACTACAATGGTAACTGTTCTCTATGCCTTTTCTGATCCCATCTCCTGCACTTCCTTGCCCTCCCACGCCCTGGAGGTCATGGGCTATTCTCAGCAAACTCCTCTACACACTCACCTCTCTTCTGTGATATTCTCTTTACTCTTTTGATCTTAAGGAAACCAGACTGCCCCTGAGATTACTGTTGCTTCTACAGTAAACACTTTTTTCTTACTCATCACATACCTCAGCAGGGGCAAGCATCGGCCTTACTCCCCATTACCATATAGTGTTGGACCTTCCAGATATCCTCTTCCTTCCTTCCCAATACTGCTTCCAAACCACTTCTCTTCCCTCCAGGCAAACTGCACCTGTCCCCTGCTAAATAGGGCTCCCTGATTTCATCTCCATTGTTAGTCTTATCACTCTGATAACTTCAACAGCCACATAGATTCAACATTTTGGCCTTCTTTTTGAAGTCTTTAGCACCAACTGTATTTTTCCACCACCTCACCTAAAGCCATTCACCTAGCATCATATTCTAATACAATCATTACCTACAAAAATTTCAAGTATTCTATTATCACACCATCAAGCGTTTGCTTACAATAGTAGTTTGACCCCTGTGGCAATTCTCCAGCCTCCTTAAGATCTATAGTTTACAGGCTGATGTACCACTTTTTCACTATTACTCCTTCTTATGTTCTACCTCCCTCCTAAGCCAGTTTAGATCCTATGGCCTCATACTACACAGAGTCCTCTCCAAAAAATCTTAATTTCCTTGTCCTCTTTTCCCTTAGTCTAACTCATTTGGCAGCTCCAACTATGTACTTATTCCTCTCCTGCATTTAAATAACAGAAGATTGCTGGATAAAACTCACACAACTGACTCGCCACCACATACATCAAATTTATGATCACAAATCTTAGGCCTACTTCATCTCTGTAGTAAATTTACTCCCCATTTTTTTGAGATTACTATTTTATACCTTGCTTCACTCCTCAAATCTGCAATATAGTAGTCATGTATCACTTAACAACAGGAATGTGTTCTGAGAAATGCATCACTGAGCAATCTGATTGTGTGAGAACATCAAGGTTCCGTGTGCTTACACCAACCTAGATGGTCTAGTCTACTACATACCTAGGCTATACAATACAGCCCATTGCTCTAGGCTATTGTCTTAGTCCATTTAATGTTGCTATAAAGGAATACCTGAGGCTGTGTAATTGATAAAGAAAAGAGGTTTATTTGGCTCACAGTTCTGCAGGTTGTGCAAGAAGTGTGGCACTGGCACCTGCATCTGGTGAGGGTCTCTGGCTGCTTCCTTCCACTCATGGCAGAAAGGGAAGAGGGGTTGAAGTCAGCAATGACCTCCATATTGCTAAACTCAGGCTTCTGCCCTCATCATTCCACCAAAATAACCCTTGCTAAAGTCACCAATGACTTCCATATTGCTAAATCCAAGGACAGTTTTCAGTGTCTTGCCACAATCTCTTATCTTGATTTCCTAATGTCCTGGTTTTCCTCCTTAAGAATAAGGTCTTTAAAACCTAGTTCCCTGCTTCCTTTGAAAATCTTGGCCGGGCACACTGACTAAGTCCTGTAATCCCAGCACTCTGGGAGGCCAAGGTGGGCAGATCTCTTCAGGTCAGGAGTTCAAGACCAGCCTGGCCAACATGGTGAAACTCCATATCTATTAAAAATACAAAAATTAGCTCGGCGTGGTGTGGGTGCCTGTAATCCCAGCTACCTGGGAGGCTTGAGGCAGGAGAATCGCTTGAATGCAGGAGGCGAAGGGTGCAGTGAGCCAAGATCATGCCACTGTGCTCCAGGGTGGGTGACAAAGCAAGACTCCATCTCAAAAAGGAAAAGAAAAGAAAAGAAAATTCATTCTTCTCCAGGCATTAACTTCTCTTCTTGCTCTACATTCCTCCCTAGACCGTTATCATTTTAAGCCATTATGAGACCCGCTCGGGGCATGCAGGTTTCTCACAATAGAGGAAAGCCTCTGTCTTTCCTTCTGTTTCCAGACCTAGGTGGCCATGTAAGCAATATTTCCTCTTGAACATCTCAAAGTTACCCAAGTACTAAATCCAAAACCAAACCCATGATCCCTTTCATCTTCCCTCCTACAAAAACCTGGTCCTCTTCTAAATTATAACATCCTGTCAATTTTACCTTCTGAATCTCTCAATACAGTTCCGCTTCCCTCCAGCCCATTCTATCATGACCTTCCCTGTCACTCAGACTCTTACACAACAATCACCTAACTTCTCTCTGCACTTTTACTCTCCTCTAATCTATGTAGGTATCTTTTTAAAAAATCTAATTATAAACTTCACTTCACCCTACTCCCAATCCTACTTAGAATCTTTTAATGGCTTTTCACTGTCAAGTACGGTACCTATCACGGCATCTGACCTTAAATGTTATCTGAACTGAGCCATTGTCTACATTTTGTGATAATTCAATTTACTATTAAGTCTAGTTCTCTAATTGTGTAGAGCAATTAGAGTGGCAAAATAGTGATAAAAAGCACTAAATGACTAACGTGAAACCTGAATAAGGTGTTGTTATTAGCTTATTTTTGCCTCACACAAAAGAACTTCCAGAAACTTTCACAGATTATCTCTATAATCTCTTGGTCCCATTTTAAAGATTAGGAAACATGCTCAGAAAGATGATACACTGACAAATGGCACAACCAAGACCCGAAACTGTATCTTTTGACTCACAGTCTGTGACTTTCAAGTTTTATGATAAAGCCATCAGTTACTTGCTACTTCATTTCTAAAATGACTGATATGCATTTTTCTAAGATTATTCCATGAATGTTCCTAAGAATATATCTTTTTCGTAACCTGAAAAATCAAGGTATACACAGTTAAGTAATTGTCTCAAGTAACGAAGGGTGATGAAAACAGAATTCAGGTTTCCTTATTTTCATTTCTCTACTCTAGCCTTGTACCATGCTGAATGCTAGTACAGGTAGTGTCCCTCATCTGTGGGAAATATATTCCAAGACCCCCAAGTAGATGCCTGAAACTTTGGGTAGTACTGAATTCTATATATACTACGATTAAGTTTAATTTGTAAGTTAGGCACAGTAAGAGATTAATGATAACTAATAATAAAACTGAATAATTATATACTATAATAAAAGTTACACGAATGTGGTTTCTTTATCTCTCTCAAAATATAATACTTTTGAAGTGTGATTGACCTTGGGTAACTAGAGATACAGAAAGTGAAGCCATGGATAAGGGGGACTACTATACTGATAAACTGGAAACCACTGAACAAATACAAGACGAGGCTAATTGTGGTATAGCAAGTTTTAGGGATGGACAAACCACAGTTCAAATTCTAACTCTGACAATTGCAAACTGTGTGACTTTGCAAGTTACTGAAATATCTGCTTTCTCATCTGTAAAATGAAGATAATAGCTAACACTCAGGTGCACTGAGGAGTAAATGTTATCACTCAATAGACAGTTTAAAATAAAATAAAATGAAACAAAAAAAAATCAGGTTCTCCCAAAAGAAGCTAGCATAAAATGAAATAAGAGCCATAGTTTTTAAAAGATGAGATTGCGTTTCCAGGTCTGCCATTTACTGCTTGTCATATACTCTCTCATGGTTGCTTTCCTCACCTGTACAATAGGGATAATGATACTTAGTCCTTAGCAATGTTGTGAGGATGAAATAGCACATAAAAGGATTTCACTTATGTATGTTAATTGAATAGCATATAAAAATCATTATTATCTGTGTAGACAGATTCGAATAGCATTCAAAAATCATTATTACCTGTGCATACAGATTCTCTACCATGGTGTTATAAATTTGTTAAGGGCACACTATGTCTTCGCTCTGTTGCCCAGGCTGGAAAGCAGTGGCGTGATCTCGGCTCACTGCAACCTCCACCTCCCGGGTTCAAGCAATTCTTCTGCCTCAGCCTCCTGAGTAGCTGAGACTACAGGTGCGTGCCACCATGCCCAGCTAATTGTTTGTATTTTTAGTAGAGACGGTGTTTCACCATGTTAGCCAGAATGGTCTCGATCTCCTGACCTCATGATCCGCCATCCTCGGCCTTCCAAAGTGCTAGGATTACAGGCGTGAGCCACTAAGGCCGGCCAGGGCACACTATGTCTTTAATCTTTAATCATCTTTGTATTTGCAACAGCTGGCTCTACCCATTATGGGCATTCATTAAATGTTGGCTGAACTGATTTATTAAGAAGACAGAATTGAACTATGAAAAAACAACAGTTCAAAATAAAATCCAGAAGTTCATCCATATAGAGCATGAATAAGAGAGGGCCTGGTGCCTGTCCAGCTAAGACTGCACAGACAGGGAGAACATATCCTGTTTTCTGGTAATTTAAGTAAGTGGTCTATAATTATGTTTATTGGATATAAATTACATAATCATCAAACAAGTAAGTTGCCTCAGTACAGGAATCATATCTGTCTGTCTCTTTCCCTGTTTTTGATGATGGCGAGAGAGGGAAAATAAATGACATAATGAATGCTTAATAGTACTGTGCAACGCAAAAAAAAAAAAAAAGTTTACAACAAATAATGGGGATTTTTCTCCATCAGGAGGCAACCTTAACAAGGGCTCCCGAGCCACGAGTACTTAACATACAAACTAAGAGGAAAAATATTTCACAAAAAACTAGTTTGTGTTTATCAAAGTTCTCCCTAGATGAATTCAAAGATACCCTCAACGTGATACAGAAAACACTTCGGAGTGGTGAGTAGTCTGCCTATGCAAATGTTCAAAGCAAAAAGTTGGCTTGTACTAGTTATTTACTGAGCATCTATTGTGTGCCATTCACTATGTTAAGTATATTCATAGATTATCTCAAATCTTCACAACAATCCTGAGTGCCACTATTTTCCCTATATGACAAATGAAACTGAGGCTCAGAGAGGTTAAGTAACTTAACAGTCATACACTTGGAAATGGCAGGGGTGGGATTTAGACCTAGTGAGGTTTCTGAAACCCGTATTCTTTTCACCACCTCATGCTGCCAACTGACGCTACCAAATTCACTAAAAAAGAGGATGACTCAACAGGAAAGCGGGGAGAAAATCTGGCAAAGCAGCATAGAGAGCGCACAAGATAGCATTCTATCTCAGAGTTCTAGACACACAGGAGCAAATTAATGAGCTGCATCTAACTACACAAATGAAAATGCTTGGATAAGCTGTAACTTTTACTCTTCAATTCTACAGGTTCTAAAAATGCCCATCTGCACCAATTCAGAGGTACTGACAACTGAACATAGTCCAGTAATTTTTCTAGAATACTCAGAAAGAGTGCCTTTGACCCATTACTGGTACCAAACCAAGCATGCAAGGGAGGTGATACAGTATGTTTGACAGTTTTCTCTGATCACCTAGACCTAAACATCCTTGCAGAACTGGGCATTTTTCAGGCATATCTACTGTTACATAAAATTCACTTCATGGAATTTCAGAATCAGAAGAGGTTCAGTTCAATTATCTTACGCATGTGGAAACTGAGTCTCAGAATAGTTATATGACTGCCGAAAGTCACATGGCTTGGTACTGGCTAAACCTACACTAAAACTCTCATCTCCTATTCCTAGTCCACAGCAGCTCCTCTGTGCCTCCCACTGAATGCGTGACCACCAAGGCTTCCTTCTATGTATCTGGGCATTATTCGCTATAGCTCCTTCTGCACGTCCTCAATGAAGTAAACAAAGGCATTGGGCTAGATGACACAAATAATAAAAGAGATAGAGCTGACCTGCTTTTTGCCCTCTAGGCAGTGCTACCCAAGCCTTCAGGTGTCATGGCATACATAGGAAATATTTTTATAGCACAAAGTGGTAAACAAATTAGGGTGCACATGATCAAAGTGACCAGGGGACTCCCAAGCCCCAGCTGGCTGCTCCAAGGGTTGTGGGGTATAGTAATCTTGGCATATTTCTATCTCAATCTGGCATGTAGCATTGGTAGGGAAGCTCTGTTCCAGGGTTAATAAGTAAAAAAAAAAATTGAGATAAATACACAAGTAACTGTAACATAAGCACAAAGGAAATAACTAAGGAGACTGTCACTGTCTGCTTTCATCAAACATAAGTGAGTGAAAATGAGATTAATTCAACTTGCTTCCTTTCATAACTCCTCTTCCAAACAAATCAAAAGACAGAACAGCCCATCCTTCAGGTCAACAGGGCTGATCAATCCCACCCACAAGGCTGCAAAGAGCCTGCACAGATGACTAGTTTACAGGGAGGCGAAAACTACTTAATGCACATTAGTGTGTCAGAAAAGTTCTGAGCTCTTACAAATACTACAAAAAAAATCAATAGAGAAGAGAAAATAATATTTCAAGGTCATATTTAAACATGAAGGGAGAAGCACGAAAAGCAGCCCCTCCGAACATACACACATACATATACATCTTCTGTGAACAAGCTCCATCTCTGCAAACGCAGTTAACATTTGCTTTCTGATAATTTATAAATTTAGCCTGTGTTAGCCAAGTAGGTTCCTGCAATTCCAGACATCTGGGCTGAAGGGCAAAGGGCAAAGGGAAACTTTCAAAAAGCTGGTTAGTAGCCAAGAGCATCACATCTAGTAGGCTCCCTTAGCAACACACAACAGCTGTTTGCTCAAGAGACATACTGCCATCTTTGCAACGGACTGTAAGATGTTCTTGTCTTAACAACTAAAAATTGCAGGCGGCTTGGGGGAGCAGTTTCTCTATTATTTCCCCTGACATTTCTCTAAAAGTTATCACATTTCATAATTTACAAACTTCTCCAGTCCCAGAAAGTTTCTCTCCATCCCAAACTACAATGCTACTATTGACGGTAAATTACAGTAATAGAAGGTACTACATTCCTGGCAAATATAAAATGCTTTATAATGTCTCATTATTAATTACTATTCTAACTGCTATAGACTTGATTTCTAACTACGGGCAAGTCACTCTTTGTGGCTTAATTACTTTCCTCACACAATTTTAATAACAGTAGTGAGTGACCTATTTCACAAGACTATTGTGAAGGATAGTAAAAATTATTAGATAAAAGCTTATGAAAGCTTATTCCTAATTAATAATCATGCCGCCTATTGGCTCTCAATATCTAAAGACATGGCTTAACAAGGTCAGTACCCCCAAAACAAAACACAAGTCGATCCTGAGCCACCAGGAAGACTGCAGTTCCTGAAGCAACCAGCTCACAACTTCACCTGCCCCACTTGCCTTCTCCAAACCTACCAAGCCCAGGGGATGGTACTGCGCAGGGAGTTCAGCCCTTGCGCCTAAGTCTGACAAGATAAACAACATAGGGGGAGGAAAAAAAACAATGTCACAATCACCGCTAGGTTTTAAAAACCTAACACCTTGGAACAGAAGGGGATGTGGCAGTCTGTGCTCTGTGGGGAGGCCATTTGTGCAACAGCAGAACCTCGCAGCTTTCCACTCCTTATATGTGCAAGTGCAAACCCTCACCCACAGCACTCTGTACTCACCCAGAGGTACATCATGTCAGATCGGGCTGCTCAAACTCAGCGGTCAGTGGATCCTGGACTGCAAAAAGGCACTTCAGTGAACCACAGGAAAGAAGATGCCAAAACTGGGGGGCAAGAGTTTGAGGTGGGGAGAAACCCCCCAAAATCACTTGAGTTAAAAAATCCTAAAAAAAAAAAAAAGAAAAGACTGGTCTCCTCCCCCCTCCGCTCCAGCTGACTGTTCTGTTGTTCTCTCTCCTCCCTCTCACCCTCCCTCCGTCCCTCCCTCTCTCTCTCTCTCTTTCTCTCTCTCTCTCTGGGAGTTCCCAGCTCTGAGTATCTGAACTAGAGTGTACAGCACACTCTCTCTGTATTTGCCTTCAGGGAATCTCTCTCTGCAATTCTACTTCTAGAAACACAATCACCACTCACAAAGATTATTGCAAAAGACAGGGATGGGTGGGGTCAGTAATAAACCACCAGCACCAGTTTCTAGTGCTAGATATACATTAGTTTAAGATGAGTTCTTTAAACATGAATGAAGCAATCAAAAATCTCTGCCCTCTAAGATCAAGGCAAGTGAGCCAAGCTTTCCCTCTGCCCCAATTGTGGAGCCCCTTGCAGAAGCCAAGCACACACACAGAACCTGCTCAGAGCCCACATTCCTTTCTCACAATGTGTGCTTGACACCACTATTCTTTACGTCATTTCACCACTAATAATTCTTAATCTTGCAAGATTTCAAAACACAGGAAAACTTAAGATATAAAACTGAATAGGCTTTTCATCTTTTTTATTACTACTGCCCTAGTTCACATCAACATAGCCTGGCTTCTGAAGGAGTCAAGTGGATCATGAGCTCGTAGCATGGTACAGACACTTTACTCACCACGCAGACGGGCTAAGGTGCACGGCTTGGGTTTCAATTCTAGATCTACAAGTACTATCATTATGGCCTGGGGAAAGTTTCCAACCTGTCCAGGCTTCTGTTTCCTCTACCAAAAAATAGGTTTAATACTCCTTTCAGAGGTGTTGTAATGATATAACTACGTAAACTGTCTGCCATGTTCCTGGTGACCATGTTTTCTAATTTTAATTCAGTTCAAACATTTATTAAGTACTTCCTATATGCCAGGCGAGTTTTCATTCATTATGCCCAGTGGTGAACAAGTATTATCAAATCACCTGTCCTAATGGTTTTTATTCAGAAAATCACGTAATTATCCCCCATATTCTAATGCCAATGTCAATGCCCATACGTGTTCCTTGCTTCCCCGACCCCTTTCTCCATGTTCAAATCCAAAAGCAAACCCCAGCTGTGAGTGAGCTCTCCTTTCTCTGTGGGGACTGGTGTTTGTAACATGGCATTGACCACCTCTGTGGGCTACTTCTCCAAGTATTCCTATAGCAAACCACTTCTCCTCTGCACATCTTCCTCAGTGGAGACCTAACATCTCGTCTTGGCTCATCCATTTTTGGCCATGGAGTCTTTTGCATAGTACCTAGCACACAGTAGGTGCACAAAACATTCTCAAACGGTAACAGGTTTTGAGGAATATTCCACTCCTTCCCACTCATTAAAGAAAACACAAAACAAAATAAAAAGCAAACAAAAACCACCTTCCAGCTGCCTCAGGGTTTTGGCTCCCCCTCAGACATGCTGAAACAGCTCCTTCCTGCTTATAAAATCTCCAAGTAAGGTCTACAAGTCTCACATTCAAGGTAGGCCCCATGCAGGTACTTTCACTCTCCCTACCTAATATTCCCACTGTGCGTGCTCTGGGCTTAGTTACCTGCCATAGTGGGGTTTCTTCCTCTTAGGGTAGAAATAGAATCACTTTTCCTTTTCTTTCACACTGAACGCATGCTTTCCGCAGACGAACGTTTTCTCTCCTCCCACCTTAAACTCCCAGCTCATTTAAACTTGGAGAGGTGGGGCAGGTATTCTTCTTGGCCTCACCCAAACCTTTTCTTTTTCTCTACATAGAACCTCTCTGCTTCTTCTGAAGGCAAGATTACTACATTTCTAGTACAAAAGAGGAGAAAGAACTTCCAAGCCTGAAACTGAGATAGCCTGTTTTCTAAATAAAAGAAAAAAAGAAAAATAAATCTTGACTTTCCATAAAGTGTTACTTAGACTCTTTTACATGTCCATAATCAGTTTTTATACACAACTTTCCTCTCTAGTTACATGGCTCATGCCCTAAATCTTAAGTCACCAACACTCCCCATACCATACTGTAAATAACTATATTAAAATTACACTGATAAGAGATTCATTTTTTCAAATTCTTTGAAGAGTCTTTTATTACTCGACACTCATTCTTTTTTTTTCTTTTTAACCTCAAATGTTTTAATGGTGGGATCTTATTCACTGTGTACAGGATTCTCTAAAGAGACCACCTGGCTGGGTGCTCAAACCACACGGGCTGACCCAAAAGACACCAAAACCAAGAGTTGCTCGGGAGGCACTAAATGTTGACGGTCTTGGCCAGCTTCACATCCTCAATTTCAGCAGACAGCCAGCAGTAAGTGTGATGAAGCCGCAGCACCTCAATGGCCTTGAGTTCCAGTGGTGTTGCCTGAATACCAAGGTCTTCTAAGCTGGGCAGGTGAGACAAGGTCATGTCTGTGATGTGAATACGCTCCACTTTATCCCTTGTTGTCCAGGACTCAAATGGGCTTATTTCAAAGTCTCTTGCTACCCACTGATAGGCAAAAGGTGGCAAGGGGTACGGGAGGAAGTACCCCTTTGCTGTGAGCCACAGCAAAGATGTACTTCACCAGGTCAAAGAGGAGATATCGATTTGGCCCAACGAAAGCAAAGGTTTTCCCATTGGCATCAGGATCCTTAACTGCATTAACAATTCCTTTGGATACATCTACGACGTATACTGGTTGTTTAACTGCCTTCCAGCCCAAGGAAACAAGGGGTATAGCACCAAACCAACACATATTTGCAAAATAATTAAGGAATCTATCCTCTCTTCCAAAGATGTCCAACAGCTTTACGATAATGGCTTCTGGAAATGTGTCTCTCACTGCTTTCTCTCCAACAGCCTTCTTTCTCAAATATCTAGAAGAGCTTTTAATATTCACATTCAGATGTGCAACATGAATGAATTTTCCAACTTCAGCTTCCTTGGACACCTGAGCAATTGCTTGGGGAATCTTCACAAAAACATCCTCAAAATCAAAGTTTTTGGTTTCCCAGTCTCGTCCAACAAGATTTATGACCACATTGCTGTGTTCCACTACTCGTCAGATAGAATCTTTATCTCTCGCGTCCCATTCCAGAAACAGAAGCTAGCCCAGGTCTCCCATGGGACGAAGGTGCATGATGTCACATGTATCACACCGATAGGGTATGATCACCTGTGACCCCACGCGTCCAAGGTGGTTGACAACACATCGGCCCAGGAATCCTGTTGCTCCAAACCCAGTGGCCACAATCCCACTGACTTGAGGAACATTCACCTTTCCCATGAGGTATGAGGGCATGATGAAGCTGGCAATGGAGTGGGCTGTGACACACGGATGTGGCTATTGCAGTAATGGCAGAATGTGACATTGGCAGGGCCCAGACAACCCGGGATTGTGCAGCGGCCGCCATCTTCTCCCACAATCCTTTTTTTTTTTTTTTTTTTTTTCTGAGACAGGGTCTCACTCTGTAGCCCAGGCTGCAGTGCAGTGGCGTGATCTCGACTCATCGCAACCTCTGCCTCCCAGGCTCAAGCGATCCTCTCACCTCAGCCTCCAGAGTAGCTGGGACCACAGGCACACGCCACCACGCCTGGCTAATTTTTTTGTATTTTTGGTAGAAACGGGGTTTCACTATGTTGCCCAGGTTGGTCTTGAACTCCTGACCTCAAGCGATCCACCTGCCTGGGCCTCCCAAAGTGTGGGATTACAAGCATGAGCCACCATGACCACTGGCAGTCATTCATTCTTAACCAAGTATCAATAAAATAAATACAATGAAATTCTGGATCTTCATACTGTAATTTTATAGTGTTATCTTTTAATCAAGTTTAGGATAGGATAAAGATAAAAGGTTGGGCGTGGTGGCTCATGCCTGTCATCCCAGCACTTTGGGAGGCCGAGGCGGGCAGATCACCTGAGGTCAAGACCAGCCTGACCAACATGAGAAACCTTGTCTCTACTAAAAATACAAAAATTAGCTGGGCATGGTGGCGCATGCCTGTAATCCCAGCTACTCAGGAGGCTGAGGCAGGAGAATTGCTTGAACCCAGGAGGCAGAGGTTGCGGTGAGCCGAGGTCTAGCCATTGCACTCCAGCCTGAGCAACAAGAGCAAAATTCTGTCTCAAAAATAACATAACATAACATAACATAACATAACATAACATAACATAACATAACATAACAAACATAAAAAATAAAATAAAATAAAATATAAAAGACATACCCTGCAGCAAAGCAGGAGAAAAATACCAAGAAAAGAAACCCTCAAAATAAAGAAAAGTTTAAATATGTCACAAAAACTCTGCAAACTACCTCTGAAACTCCCATGGGTGGAACCACCATAAACTTCTTTGGAACCACAGGAAGGGCTTGTAAATTCCTATTATAAATGCATCTATTTCTTTTCTGATCATAATCTTTAAAATTAGGTGGTCAGTCTGGTCAGAAATAAAACTCTTCTGTATGTTACCTTTATGAAAACATACAAAAACCAAAAACCCACAGGGAAGCTAAGTTATCTTTTTTATTCATGCTCCTGCATGTTCACATTTTTCTACCTTTAAAACAAAACAAAAAAAAAAAAAGAAAGAAAGAAAAAAGGGGGAACAAAGTGGTAGGAGAAGAAAAAAATTTATTTCCAATTATCAAAGTCAAATAAGGAAAGCTATGCTTTATAGCTATATACAATTCACATTAAGAGACAAAAAGGTGTAAAAACTCCACACTATAAAGAGACTCTAAAAAGAATCACAGTCTTATACACAGAGATTAAGATGCACACATACTTCATTCTATCAGGAGAGCATGTTATCAGACTTTGTGACTGATAGCTTATCACCCTATCTGTTAGTTCAGAGGAGAGAATGTGTCCATTTGAGCACTAAAGAAAGTCTTCTGAGGAGGGCCCACAGAAGAAGTTTCTGGCATGCTTGCTTCTGAGAAAGAAAAATCAGATAATCTGGGACAGCAATATGGGTATTGCCAATAATTCTAACCTTGCTTCCTGAATTCCTACATCTCAAAAATGCTGGATTTTGCAATGTGAGTCTGGTGGGCAGAAAGGGTCTGGAGCCACATTTTAGATGCTCTGCCTCTGACTCCAATAATTCAAGAGGCTACTTGTTTTGTTTGTTTTTGAGATGGAGTCTCACTCTGTGGCCCAGGTTGGAGTGCAGTGGCATGATCTCGGCTCACTGCAACCTCCGCCTCCCGGGTTCAAGTGATTCTCCTGTCTCAACCTCCCAAGTGGCTGGGATTACAGGCGCCTGCCACCACACCCAGCTATTTTTGTATTTTTAGTAGAGACAAGGTTTCACCATGTTGGCCAGGCTGGCAGGCTACTTGTTTTATACGAGTTTCTCTGTGGTTGTAAGAGGATAGCGGGGGGAAGTAGGTATACCGGGGGAGCCAGCACAATTTCTCAAAAATGTACCTGAGAAATCAGGCACTAAAAATTCTTCAGAAGAAATCTGAGGCAACCCTCTATACATAGTTTATATTCCTATCACTTCCTGGACTGGTAGAGACAATACAGACTCACCAAAACAACACTGAGGTAGAGAAATGAGATGTATGAGTATTGTCTATGAAGCTGACTTAAAAAAAAAAAAAAAAGTCGAAAGAATGAGGCTCTTTTTCCCTCACTTCCTCTCAGCTTAAAATAGCAGGGATTCCCACAGGGCAATCTCTAACAGAATTCTGCTACTCAAATGTGACACATGGACCAGCAACAGCAGAATGAGCATCAACTGGAAACTCCTTAGATTTGAAGAATCTCAGGCCCCACCCTAGACTTACAAAATCAAAATCATATGATAACAAAAGCCCCAGGTAACTCTCAGGCACACCGAAATCTGAGAAGCTGGTCTAGACAGAGGCACTGGCCACATGCAGCAGTAGCGACTCATGGGAGAAGGCGTAGATATGGCTGCCACTTTCCAGTTAGGGGATGTAAACCACCCTGGAAGACAAAACAGTGAACATTCCTCTCCCACTTGCTGGTTTCAATGTAACACCACCAACCGCTACTATTTACTCAGAGCATATTATGTGCCACAACTTTGCATGCATTATCTCATTGCATCTTCACAATATCTCTGTAAGACAGGCCCTGTTATCTTTTTCACAGATCAAAGGAAATTGAGGCCCAAAGTGGTTACATAATATACTCATGGTCTCACAGCTAGTGAATAAAGAGCCAAAAGTTCAACGTTCGTTTTTAAGACTCCAAGATCATTTCCACTAAATCATACCTATTCACTGACAAAACTGAATCAAGACTGGAAAAAAAATCACTGAAAAACTTACCCTGGATATAAATAACCCTGCACTCTACCTCTGCCCATTACCAAGACTTTAAATAACAAATGAAGCCAGGTGTGGTGATGTGAGCCTGTAATCCTAGCTTCTCAGGAGGCTGAGGCAGGAGGGTTTGCTTGAGCTCAGGAGTTTGAGACCAGCCTGGGCAACATAGTAAAACTCTCATCTCAAGAAAAAAGTAAAAAACAACAACAAACGACAGAGATAGGGTTTGGGAGTTGGTGTACACATACTGTACTTGTGCACTGGCCAAAACACTGCTACTACTGATGTCATTCAGAGAATAGACCCAGAAACTTCTGTGAATGGTGGTTACCTTCTATGATGTCTAAACTAAGCTCTAGATGTATATATACATGGAGAAAGCGGTCCATCTCAAAGCTAGCCTCTTGGGAAAGGCAATTAAGTGATTTGTTAGAGCTCTTACTCCCAGTTATTAGGAAACCCAGAGCTACCACCCCTAAAACAGAAGACTGCATTATCTTGGCTGGGCGCGGTGACTCACACCTATAATCCCAGCAATTTGGGAGGCTGAGGCAGGCGGATCACTTGAGTTCAGGAGTTCAAGACCAGCCTGGCCAACATGGTGAAACCCCATCTCTGCTGAAAATACAAAAATTAGCCAGGTGTGGTGGTGCATCTGTAGTCTCAGCTACTCAGGAGGCTGAGGCAGGAGAATCGCTTGAACCCTAGAGGCAGAGGTTGCAGTCAGCTGAGAATGCACCACTGCACTCCAGCCTGGGCGACAGAGTGAGACTCTGTCTCAAAAAAAAAAGAGAAGAAAAGCTGCATCATCTTAAAAGACCCATCTTTCCTTATTACGTTTCAATTATACTCTCAAAGAACTTCCCTTACTTCTAACTAGCTTTCTCTGGTATCCCCTCCCTACAATTTTTGACGTCATGAAGTCCTCCCATCCCAACCACTTTTCCATTATCTACCCACTCCGGTTCTGCACCCTCTTTGTCCAATTTTGATGCCGTGTTCCATAATTACAATCTCTCCCTTGCAAATACCCTCAATCATTTGTCCTCTCCATCACTGCCACCTGACACAACTCCAATCCTGGTTAAATCCAATTGTCTGCCTTTTCTAGTGCCTATGCCCAATCAGCTGAATGTTGCTGAAGAAAAATCACATAACCAAGCTGACTGACTTCACTATATATTCATGATCACAAACCTCAAATGGACACTCAACGATGCCAAGCAATCCACCAAAGCTGCCCTTGAAAGCTTTCCTACTCCCCAAAATGACTATTTCTTGCTTCTCCTCAAACCTCCCTCATTCACTCTTCACTACCTACTCTCAGCTAATTTTCTTATTTTACTTTTTGTCTGTTTGTTTTGAGACAGGATCTCACTCTGTCGCCCAGGCTGGAGTGCAGTGGTGCGATCATGGCTCACTGCAGCCTTGACCTCCCGGGCTCAAACTATTCTCCCACCTCAGCCTCCCAAGTGGCTGGAACTACATGCACATGCCACCACGCCCAGCTAATTAAAAAAAAAAAAAAAAAATTTAGAGAAGGGGCGGGTCTCACTATGTTGCCCAGACTAGTCTTGAATTCCTGGGTTCAAGCAATCTTCCTGCCCCAGCCTCCCAAAATGCAGGGATTACAGCCATGAGCCACTACACACAACCTCTTAGCTAATTTTCTATGTCATTTTAAATGAGAAGCATTCAGACAGTATCTTCTTACCACTAAATCTAATGTTCTATAATAAGTAAATGATTAAATGAACCCTAATTTTTTTAAAGTTCTCCTTTGACCCCTCATCTCCCTCCAGCTACCTGCTATTTCCCTGCTCACCACTTCAGGGTAAATTATCTTGAAAAAGTTGTTGTCTATATCTGTCTCAATTTCTTCACTTCTCATTTTCTTCAATCTACTCAAAACAAAGTTTCCAAGCCCTCCACTCCATTAAATCAACTTATCAAGGTCTACTACTTCCACATTTATCTGACCTCTTAGCAGGATTCAACAAAGCTGACAATCTTCTTAAAACATTCTCTTCTTCTGGCTTCTGAGATACTACAATGCCATTTTTTTTGTTTTTTCATGCATCACTGGTTACTGTTTCAGTATCTTTTTATGGCTTCTCCCTCGACAGACCTCTAAAAGGCAAGTGTTCCTTGGGGTTCAATCCTGAGTCATCTTCTCTAAGTTGTCTCATCCATTCCCATCACTTCAAATACCATCAACATGTTAATAACTACCAAGTTACACCCCTAGCAGAGACCTCTCCCCATGCTCCAATATGACTACTTAGCTGTCACACAAGCATGTCAAACTCAACATGCCCAAAATTGGGTCCTTAATTCTCCACCATCACCACCCTTGAAGTCCCCTGGTACTACCTGACAATTATGAAAGCCAGAAACCCTTCCTTCACCCCTCATCCCTCACATCCAACCTACAGCAACTTCTGTGTGTGTGACTTCACTTGACCTCCACTGCCTTAAACCACCTTAACCCAAGCCACCATCATCTCTTTCCTGAATATCACACTAGTTTCCCCATTTCCATTGTTGCTCCCTTCCAAAACACCATCACACAGCAGCCAGAGAAACTCTGTAAAACAAACACCAGATCTTATCACTCTCCTACTTCCACGGCATCACATTACATTTTTCTTTCCAAACTCCTTATGATGGTCTTTAAGGTCCTATATGACCTGCTATGTGCCCACTTCTCCAACCTCACTTCATACCATATCTCCTCTCAATCACTATTCTAAAGACACTGATTTTGTGTCAATTCCTCTCCCCCATACCCCTTAATTCCCTCTTTCTGAAATCCCTCCTCGTTCCACCTTCATTCTTTGCAAGCCAGGCTCCTTCTTATCTTTTAGAACTCAGCTTAAATATCACTTCCTCAAATAAAACTCTCCAGACTCCTCTATCTAGTTGGAGGTCTTTCCCCACAAGCCCGTACTCTCTGTTACTGTGCCCTGTTTATGTTCTTCCTAGCAGTTACCAAAATCTTTAATTATTTATGCTTTTTTTGGTTACAGATTTCTCCATTAGAAAGTAATGTTTTGTGTATGTCAGATACAACTGAAATCTTCTACTATGAAACGCTTTATCCTTTGACTTTTTGTTAGGGAAGGTCAAAGTTATTTGCAGGAGTTTCTGGCACTCAGGCAACTGTCTAACCAAGTCCTATAAATAAAGTTAGAGTGCTACTAATTTCACCCTAGTTACCAAAAGGACTCACAGCTTTGCCACAGATACAAACCACAAATAAATGCTGGTAACAATGGCTTTAAAATGCTACACTGTGAAATAATCATAACGTCAATATGAAAAGGCAGTTCCAATTTAATCATTTACTTTAAGCTAATCTGATAATCTACATTCCAAATTGTCTCCCTTCCAAAACTATAAATTTATTCTTCTCAGCACAATAATAGCATCCCAGTTCAAGCTCTCCTCTAATCAAGCTTGCTGTATATAAGTTAGTTAACTAGAGTCTAGAACTACGTCGTCTAACACGCAGCCAGCTGTCATATGTGGTTATGTGAATTTAACTTAATTAAAATTAAAATTTCAGTTACTTAATACTAGCCACATGTCAAGTGCTCAAGAGCCACGTGAGGATAGTGGCTATCATAATGGATAGGGCAGACATAAAACATTTCTATCATCACAGAAAGGTCTATTAGACAGAGCTGTCCTAGAACACGGTAATAACCAGGAAGCAAAAAGGCCCTCTAGGTATCCAGAATTCCAAAACATTCATTCCAAAATTTTCATCGGCAGGAAAACTCCATCAGACCTTCTCTCTGAATCTATTTATTTTTATTTTAGGAATATTTCTGTCCTGGTTATCTGGCTAATTGTCCACCAAAAATTTACAAAGCAAATTAAGAAAAGGAACTGGGAAGCAGTGGGGAATAAGTACCAGAGGAAAAAGGAATATTATGTTAGAGGCAGCCAACATAGGAAACAAGAAAGATGAAGAGAAAAAAAATCTAAAAAGCAGGTAAAATAGATAGATGATATATGTCAAAATGGTGCCACTTAGTAAGGCAAAACCAGCAAAAGCTCCTGAAATATTACTCTTTTATATTCCTAAACAATACTGATGCTGATACCTGTGTTAAAACCATTTAAAAATGCCCACTATTTTACTGTTAAGAAGAAATAAATTTTATAGTTATACAACACAATTTAGAAGGATTTATTTCTGAAATGACTGAATCTTAAATACCTTGGTCTTTAAAGAAGGGAAAATCCTCTCAGCTGGTTAGGATACTCAGCCATGAAGAAGAGAAATATTCTGCACAAATTCAAGAGTTCAGTCCCTTGAATATGAATGAATGCGTTTACAGAGCAGGTATAGATATGTAAGTAAGACATGACTCTCCTGTTTAATGAATTATGGCTTATCCATACAGTGAAACACTGAACAGTATAGCCTTGGGGGAGGGGGATGAGGAAGCTCTTAAAATACCATTATGAAATACTCTAATAGAGTCATGCACTGCATAGCAATGTTTCAGTCAATGATGGAACACATATGTCATGGTGGTCCCGTAAGATGATAATGCCATGTTTTTACTGTGCCTTGTCCATGCTTAGATATGTTTAAATATGAAAATATTTGCCATTGTGTTACAATTGCCTACAGTAATCAGTAGAGTAACATGCTGTACTGGTTTGCAGCCTAAAGGCATTAGGCTGTACCATATATAATATATAGTCAGGTATATATCTAGGTTTGTGTAAGTACATTCTATGATGTTTTCACAATGAAGTCACCTAATGACACATTTCTCAAAAAGTATCCTTATCATTAAGCCATGCATACCGCATATGTCATTAAGTGGAAAAAAGAAAGGTTTAGCAATGGTTTTAAAACCAGTGGTTTTTTAAATGGGAGGAAAAGATCAAAGGAGGAATTATACACAAGAAGTAAAAAACACCCAGTGCCTGTAGGGGAAAGACACTGGGAACTCAAGACAGGAATGGGAGAGCAACTTTTCACGATATGACCATTTTCTACTTTTAAAATATTAACTTATGTAAATGTTATTTATTCAAAATACAATAATCATACATTTTATAAAAGTGAGTTCTCTATCCCTAAGAAATGTATAATCTAATGACTTACCCAGGCTTCAAAAAACAAAAGAAAAAAAATCACACTTTTTCCTTTACCAATGGTCAGATATTTAAATATTTCACACATACTTTATTCTTACTTAAAACCTCATTCTATGGCCTGGCACAGTGGCTCATGTCTGTAATCCCAGCACTTTCTGGGGCTGAGGCAGGCAGATCTCTTCAGGTCAGGAGGCCAGCCTGGCCAACAGAGTGAAACCCCATCTCTACTAAAAATACAAAAATTAGCCGGGCGTGGTGGCACACACCTGTTAGTCCAGCTACTTGGGTGGCTGAGTCACAAGAATTGCTTGAACCCAGGAAGTGGAGGCTGCAGTGAGCCAAGATCACGCCACTGCATCCCAGCCTGGCCAACAGAGCAAGACTCTGTCCCAAACAAACAAACAAACAAACAAAAAACCAAAAAACTTTCTATACCATTTGAATTTCCATTTCCAACAAACTAATCAATTTTGGAAAAAAACTCAAACTTGATCTTAAAATGGAAACTGCAGTGATCCTTACCATAATCTTGTATTATTTAGCTTTTAAAAAATCTTTGCATAAAAGTATATACATTTCAAGAAAAAAATCATCTTGTTGGAAAACATGGCAAAGACTGGTTGAAAATCTCCCAGGGAAGCCGCAGAATGGTCTTCTGTATCATGTGGGAGATAAGGCTGGGTCACTCTGATAGGCCCTGGAGCTGAGAATGTTAGTGGCTTCCCAATATCCTCTCTTCTCTTCTTCCTTAGTAACAAAACCCCAGTTTTCATTTTAGCATATTACTGTACACGCTTCCCCAGAAAAGGACTACATCTTCCATCCTCCACTACAGCTACATATGGCCCTAAGACTAATTCCGACTAATGAGATATAAGCAGAAATGTTACATGGAACTTCCTGGAAGTTTTCTTAGGTAGGGGAGGGGACACCCCTCTTTTCTTCCTCTCAAACTGCTTTGTGGAAAGGGGGAAATGATGGCTGAATCATCTAGGCCCATCCTACAGTCAGAGAAGTAAACAGCAGTAAGGATCTTAGATCCTTGGTAACCAGACAGCGCCATATTAGCCTGGACTGCCTAATTTCAGACTTCTTTTTCATGAAAGACAAATGAATCTCTCTCTTGTTAAGATTCTGTGTGGGGAAGAGGAGATTGTTATATGCAGCTGAACTTAATCCTAAATGTTTTCAATAATAAATTATTTACTTTAACTTACAAATCAAAACTCGATTTTTTTTTTTGAAACAGAGTGTCGCTCCGTCGCGCAGGCTGGAATGCAGTGGCGTGACTCCAGCTCACTGCAACCTTCACCTCCCGGATTCAAGAGATTCTTGTGCTCAGCCTCCCAAGTAGCTGGGATTACAGGTACCCACCACCATGCCCAGCTAATTTTTGTATTTTTAGTGGAGACGGGTTTTTGTCACATCGGCCAGACTGATCTCGAACTTCTGACCTTAAGAGATCTACCTGCCTCGACCTCCCAAAGTGCTGGAATTACAGGTGTGAGCCACTGTGCTCTACCCAAAATTCAATTTCACTTGAAACAACAGAAAGCTTTATGCACATCAACAGTGTGCACATTTGATGACCAAAACAGAGACTGTCAAAGAATCTTGAAATGTCTATTTCAAATGTTTAGGCCAAGAAGTCAACTGGTGTATCACTCTGATCTACTATCCATAACTATTCCACACCAAAATGATAGAAATAAAATTTTAACTTAACCATTCTTGAATTCGTATAATGAGAAACAGTCAAATATGGATACACTCAGTTTCTTCACCTGCAAAATGGAGTTAATAATGCCTACATTACAGGGATGTTGTCAAACCCAAATAGAGAACAAATGTTCTTCAACTTACAATGGGATTTTGTCCCTATAAACTCATCATAAGTTGAAAATATAGTAAGTCAAAAATGCATTTAACACACCTAACCTACCAAACATCATAGCTTAGCCTAGCCTATCTTAAACATGCTCAGAACACTTACATTAGGTTACAGTTGGGTAAAATCATTTAACACAATGCCTATTTTATAATAAAGTGTTGAATATCTCATGTAATTTACTGAATATTATAATAAAAGTGAAAAAATGGGTACTCAGATGGTTTCTACTGAATGAACATTGGTTTCTACTGAATGTGTATTGCTTTTGTACCATTGTAAAGTCAGAAAACTGTTAAGCAGAACCATTCTAAGTTGTGGATGGTTCAACATCTGTATGTTAGGCTATTATGTAAACAGAGCAATATATACTATTGTTATCATTACAATTACCACCACAATAGCCAATTGGTAAATATGAGTCACAAAATAAAAAATACTAGATGAAACCTATTAAATAGGCAGAAACTTAGGTTTGGGGCTCAAGGAATTCAGTGAACTTGCCAAGCCTCTTTCATCCAATTTCTCATCTATTTTTTTTTTTTTTTTGAGATGGAGTCTCGCTCTGTCACCCAGGCTGGAGTGCAGTGGCATGATCTCAGCTCACTGCAACCTCCACCTCCCAGGTTCACACCATTCTCCTGCCTCAGCCTCCCAAGTAGCTGGGACTACAGGCGCCCGCCACCACGCCTGGCTAATTTTTTGTATTTTTAGTATAGACAGGGTTTCACTGTGTTAGTCAGGATGGTCTCGATCTCCTGACCTCGTGATCTGCCCACCTCGGCCTCCCGAAGTGCTGGAATTACAGGAGTGAGCCACTGCGCCCAGCACATCTCGCTATCTTTCAGAAAATCATTGTTATCAGGTTTGGTGCAGTGGCTCATGCTTCTTGTTGCAGCTGCTCAAGAGGCCAAGGTGAGAGGATCGCTTGGGGCCAGGAATTTGAGACCAGCCTAAGCCACATAGCAAAACCCAGTCTCTTAAACATATATATATGAAAAAATATACATTACATCAGGAATTTCAGTTTCCTTCTTTAAAGTATGGGTGGAAAGAAGGGAGTTGAGAGGTTGTAAGGGGAGAAAAAGAACAACAGCAGTAAAAGGCTTAAAGTAATTAGGAAGTCAGATACACCTGAAATATGTAACCCTGTTTTAGCATTTTACAAGTTGTCAAAAGGTAATACAACAATTTTAAAAGTAACGCTAGCAATATTTTTCTTCATTCAAAAGAAAAATACTAAATACAAATATAGTTTCTACTTAGTATGCAACAATCTATCATGAAAAGTGCAATGTCTCCGAGCAATGTCTTCGAGAAATAAGGGTAACATGTGAGTCCCCCTGTTGGAGCGAAGTGGCACAATCTCGGCTCACTGCAACCTCCGCTTCCCGGATTCAAGCGATTCTCCTGCCTCAGCCTCCTGGGTAGCTGGGATTACAGGCACAAGCCACCATGCCCGGTTAATGTTTTTGTATTTTTAGTAGAGACAGGTTTCGCCATGTTGGCCAGGTTGGTCTCCAACTCCTGACCTTAGGTGATCCACCCACCTCGGCCTCCCAAAGTGCTGGGATTATAGGCGTGAGCCACTGTGCCGGGCCTTACTTTCTTTTTTAGGCAGAAAAAGAAGATAATTTTTAACCTGTACCCAAAGGCATAGACAATACAAATGTAATCTATTTTGATGATTGACAATCATAAATATTTACTTAATTTCAACAAAGTCATGATTTTTTGCTCTTTAAACAAAATATAACTGAATCTCTTTAACTTTTATACTTAAAATGATTTAACTTCTCCAAAATGTTTAAAGTTTGAAAAAAAGCCAATGAAGTCACTTCCTGAAGCCATTAATTCATCTTTTTAACACTACTTCTGGTGACTTTAATCCACACACACATTGTACGTGAGTCATACTGATGCTGTGTTATTCAATTCATTATATTTTGAAAAGTACTCTATGGTCAAATTAACTTTGAGAAACACGGTTTAAGCAATTTTATTGTTTGCCCAATTTGAATTTTCGCAGGCTTCTAACAGGATACTTAAATTAATAGATGCTTTTTTACAAATTTCACATATACTCATAGGAAGAAAACAAGCTATCCAGGGGTGTCAGAGATAGGTAGCTGACAGGCAGACAGATGCCAAGAATTTGCTCCACAATTTAAAGGGCTACAATCAGGATAACAGAAGTGTGAGAAACAGACTCAGACAGCTTAAGGGTTTTTGTTGCCCAGAAGGAATACCAATGGAAGGGATACCATTGTCCATTTCTATACCTTTCTGTTCTGAATAGCCATATCCAAGCAGCTTTACTGTGTGAGATTCCTGGAGAATTAGAAGTACTCCCACTTCCCTAGATGATTCATTTGTAATGCCAACTTATGTGTCTGAATGCATGCAAAGGAGGTTGAGGGTCTTCTGAACTAGCGGAAAAAAACTGAAATAACATTATTTTCTGAGAAGGTAATCTATTTTAATCCATACAAATCCATTTGGGCTTTACCATTCTATCCCATATATAAGCAATGGCTGCAGCATCAAAATGTTCCTTAAAATTAGTACATGCCAAACTCTATAAACTTATTTTCAGGCTATGACTTTACTTTTAATAACATAAATGAGTTCAGTGGGACTTATTTTAATTATTTCTGAAACGGTTTATTTTTAGTAAATATAATAGTCCCCCACATGGAAAGCTATAACCATGACAAAAATTTTCTAGGAGGAGATAAAACCCTATTTATAGACCTATCAGTTGCTCCTTGCTTAGGTTGTAACATAGTTTCCACTTTAAGCCTGATATGACCTCCCGGGACTTCTCTGGTCTCTAATAATGTCCCTTTCATCCTGAAGTTTCCCACATTTATCTTTATCTCCCCCAGGTACTTAAGTTAAGCTACTATGGGTTGGGGGAAGGGAGAAGGAAAGAATCTTCTTTGTAAAAGCCATCTCCTACAGAAGAGTTTTAGGTAATTTTCAGGAACTTAAAAAATGAAAGATAGTTCTTCACTTGGTGGGCTTTTTTGGGAGAGAACCTCATAAATATTCAACAATCATCAGGAATACTGCTACACAGTAATCAATGCATATGGGAAATGGAAATGGCAACAAGGCCTACTGGTGTCTTAATCGACCTCTGATTTATCTTAAAGTTTTGCATCTTTTAAAAATCCAACAAGAGTAAAGGTATTTTAATATACAGGATACCACATTCTCTAATCAGAGGAAAGCTAATCAAGGGAGCCAAAATATAAATAAATGTAAGAAATTTTTCCTAAAAATTGTGATCTCAGGGATTAAGTTGTTATTATTGGTGTTGTTTACATTAGCTGCTGGTATCGTTACACTCCTCACTTAAAATGCTAATTGGTGGAATCTCCCCTTCCCAATCTCTGCCTATGACTCCATCAACAATTTTAGAAGGTATAAGTACCTTATTCTAATCCAATGAGCCATTTTCAATTTCCTTTCACTAGCAGTGGCATGACCCATATCCCATCTCACCCCAGCCCTTCCCCACTCCATACTCTGGATAAAATTTTTAATGAACCCTGTTTTTACTGCTCCAGCAAATCCTAACCCCTTTCATCTCTAAACCTCAACAACATTTGCTGGTCTTGGTTCACTCATTTTTTTTTAATCTTAAATACATACTTCTTTTTTGTTAATTCCATGTTTGTAGGTCTTGTATCCTGAATGAGACTGCAAATTGTACTCAACGTAAAGGCCTAGTGGGCAATGACACATCTTATCTCAGCATCATCAGTTGGTCATGCCAACTGACTGGCATATAACAGGCACATAATAAACATTATGGAACTATTTGTTGAGGTGATCTGGATGGCAGAAACAGCATACTACGTATACTTCTCTTATATGAATCTCTCAGAGCACACCACTGGGAAAGCCCAACATAAAGTGTGGCAGAGCTAAATCACAAGCAACTCCTCAAGAGAGGAAGGGAGAAGAACATGAGCATTCATTAATACCAACCCATCTTTCATTAGATTCCCATCAACATTCTCAGGAGCTCAAACAGATGGTGTGAACACAGGATGTACCAAGTGATGGAGCAAGCAATAACATTTCCTCACCGCAAGAAAATTCTTCCACCTTTTCCATCTACCTATATATTACTTAACCTTTAAGGCCTACCTCTTCCTGTCCACCCAATTCACAGTGAAATCCCCTAAGCTCTCCAGTACCTGAGGATGAGTAGCTATTTAGCATTTTCACTTAAAACAAGGGATGGATCCAAACTTTAACAAAAATAATTCAAAATAAACACCAGTAAAAGTCACCTGATTGTAAAAGTTGGCAAACACCAGGAAATACTTCTTTTAATTTTTTTTCAGTTGTTAAACTTATCATATAAAATGTATTTCCCTTTTTAAAAGAAGATATATGGGTTTTCCGGGGTGATCTGAGCTGAGGCATGAGCATGAATGATCAAATAAAACTCTCAAGATCATATCCCAGAGGCAGCATGGCATTGAAGAAAGAACTGAGGTTTGAAAGTGAAACAGACCTACAATCAAATTGCCAAATCACCATTCATTAGCAGTGACCTTGAGCAAGTACTTTAACCCCTCTTAACCTGTTTTGTAATCAACAAATGCAGAATTAAGATGAAAATTAGAAATAATGTACATAAAACACCTAGGCCAGTGCCTTTCTTAATAAATTTCAATTGTTAATGGTTTTGTCTATTGTCATTTTTCTTAGCCCACAACAAATGACAGAAAATGATTTATTGGCAAATCTGACATTTTAGGGCTTCTACTGTAATTTTTTTTTAATTGGAAGTAACCAAAATATTAATAAGAACTCACCTTTAAAAAGCTATTTTCTCTGTGAATTTAAAAGTAAACCGTGGCCAGTTGCAGTGGCTGGTGCCTATAATCCCAGCACTTTGAGAGGCAGAGGAGGAAAGGAAGATTGCTTGAGCCCACGAGTTCAAGATCAGCCTGGGCAACATAGTGAGACTCTGTCTCTATTTTTAAAAAGTAAAAAAAGTAAGATCTGCAGGAAGAGAAACAGAAAGTGTTCTCTTGGGTAAGGTGTATCTATTAAATCAGATGGCTAGGATAATTTACAAGCAAAAAAATAAAGCTCTTTAAGGGAGCGCCTAACAGGATATATATATCCTGTTATTTCTATTGTGTGTGTGTGTGTGTGTGTGTGTGTGTATACATATATAATTATATCATTATAATATGTGTGTATATGTATGTGTGTGTGTGTATATATATATATAGATGGATAGAGATATACCGATATATATATGGTTTACTCCTACCTGGAATTTCTATGATATCTATAAATCTATATAGGTTTATAGATATAGATATCATAGAAATTCCAGGTGGGGATAAACCCAATATTGTAGTATCTATGTCATAGAAAGGCTATGGGTAAAGATAATTTTTTAACCTAATCAAAATTCTGCTCCTCCCTCAAACCAGGGATATTTACCTGATAATCACAAGCCAAAGGGAAAGAGAAAAGAAAATATCTGCCTGTCTAAGAAAAGGGGAATGAGGAAGGGGTGGGCAGAGCTGGCTATAAAGGACGGGAATTTCTTTATGGAGGAAGGAGAAAATTGAATGCTGTACCATCTTCTTTTGCTGCTTTCAGGTGATGGAGGAATCCCTAAGTCATTTACTTGCTCTAGTAGCGGGGCTGTGAAAGAGGAGACAGTAATGTTTGGTCCTCCTACAGGGCAGGATTAAAAGCTGTGAAGGAGTTAAAGAATATCAGAGTGAAAATGCTGGCAGGACTTCTAGGGCCTTTTTAGCCAGCCTAGTGGAATGGAAGAGTCTGGGCATTAGAGCCAGATGGGCCTTCCTTAAGTGACCTTGGGCAAGCTGGACAGCCTCTCTAGCCTACACTTTTCTCATCTGTAAAATTGGGTTAACAGCATTTGCCCTGCAGAGTCATAAGAATTTAATAAGGTAACAAATAAAAACAAACTGCTTCAGAATAGGCACTCAATACAGGTTAAATGCTTTTCCCCTAAACCTCAAGGCTAGCGATAAAACGCCACTGGAATATATAGTGATATACCATACATGCCCATTTTCTCCTTTTCCTCTCATTGTGCATAAAGAGAAGCAAGTCTAAAAAGAGAAAATAACTTTTCCAAGGTTGCAATACTAGTTACTGGCAGAATTGGGGCTAAAAGCCAGTTCCTTCAAGTTCAATGCAATGTACCTCGCCTCATTAGGAACAATCCCTTAGGGATGGGCTCTGAGAGTAGATGCCAACAAGAAAACAAGCTAACTGCAATGTCTGCCATTCCCTGTGATTCAGATACCTAAGAGTTAAACATTCAGTCTCAGCTACAGCTCCGGAGTTGGCTGACTCCTTAGGCACTGAAATCCATTCCTCTACGTGATTGGTTGGTTCCCAAAGGGGTGGGGAAGAGGAAAAGGGAGAAGAATGTCACCCGATCCCCGGGGGTAAACAACAGCAAAAGCATCTGCTCAGGTTTTCAACTAAATCTGTGAAATATTTCTGAACACTTGACCACCAAACTTGAAAAACTGTTAACTTCTGACCTTAATCAAAAAGGTTGTTCTGTAATGACCAGATCCTTAGTAATGCAATCTGGACAAACAAATGCAAAAAGACAGTTTAATATTTCTCTAGCACAAAATTAGTACCCAGTGCTCGTGTGCTCTAGGTGCTTGAAATCGACACTGCCACCAACCCTCCTCCCCCTTTGCCATTACAGAGAGAAACCAGCCTGCTTGCTTCCACCCTACCATTTTACTCGAACTCTGCCATTTCGGAAATATGACAGGACTACACAATCACATTCTCTCCTCTGAGCCACCTCCTTTAAGAGCAGCCCCATCCCCTTGTAACTTTCTGTAATTATGTTAGCACACATGTGCAGGGCAGAGAGAAGGGAGGGTTTGGGGAGAGAGAAACCCAATACCCTGCCAAATCCATTGGGAAGTCTGCCCAAGTTATTAATCCAGGACGGGGCCACTTAACTAAATTAGTTGAGGCAATGCCCTTCAATTGTAGCTAGATTCTTTCCCCAGGGGAGAATGCAGGAAGTGTCTGCCTCCTCAAAATCTTATTACCCCAAACAACTCTTTTTTTCTTCAGAAGTTTCTCTCTCCCATTTCAAAGCTATGTACAAAATACTTTTGTTTTATGCAGAGAATCAGAGAGGCAGCCGCTCTCCCTGAGTACACTACAGGGACTCCACACGACTGGTCAGTAAGGAGCTGCTGAAAAGTGCATTCCCTTTGTTCTTACAGCCACAATGAAATTTTAAAGTCCCAATTATGTAAACCAGGGTGAGGGATGAAGAGCTACAGTTAAACCAAAGAGAAAGCCTCCTGCAGAATGACTAAACCTGGAAGTCCTTTTACAGTCTCAACCAGTACATGAATCAGCTCTAGTTCACCTTAATACGGCACCAGAAACGAGGAGTAAGCCATACCCTCTCCCAGGCCCACCCTAAACAATCTGGAATTGCTGGACAGATCATCTCTCAGAAACTGTGTAGACTACAAATGACCCAAAACCACTCTACACTCACTCAAAGAGGAAAGATTCCTCAATACTGAGCACAAGCAAATCAGCTCCAGGAAGTTAAGTGGCAGAGGCTCCGTATGCCTCCTCTTTGTCTCTATTCTTTAATCCCAAAGCCAGATTTAATCTAAATCATGTTACTAATGCCCTGTGCTAACACAGATGTCTCATTTATAAATCCTAGGGAACATAAGTGACTTAGCTCTCTTTCACAGTAATGCTCAGCAAATTAACTACTCAAGGAGGTTCAGTATGGTTACTAAAAACATAGGCTTCGGTATCAAGCTAACCTAGATTTAAATGCCTGTTCTACCACTTTCCAGCTCTGTGACTTGCTCTTCTCTAAAGCCCAGTTTCTTCATTGGTAAAATATGGCTTCTACTGTCCACCTTATAGAGAGAATGGGTGTTTGCATGTTTGTTTGTTTGTTTGTGACAGGGTCTCACTCTGTTGCTCAGGCTGGAGTGTAGTGGCATGATCTTGGCTCACTACAACCTCTGCCTCCCGGATTCAAGCAATCCTCGTGCCTCAGCCTCCCAAGTAGTTGGGATTGCAGGCATGGGCCACCAAACCCGGCTAATATTTGTATTTTTAGTAGAGACAGGGTTTCGCCATGTTGTCCATGCTGGTCTTGAACGCCTAGCCTCATGTGATCTGCCTGCCTCGGCCTCCCAAAGGGCTGGGGTTACAGGCACAAGTCACCGTGCCCAGCCAGGAGAGTGGTTGTTAATAGTAATGAGGAGTGGGCCGGCCGTGGTAGCTCATGCCTGTAATCCCAACACTTTAAGAGGCTGACGCGGGCGGGTCACCTGAGATCAGAAGCTCGAGACCAGCCTGGCCATCATGATGAAACCGTCTCTACTAAAAATACAAAAATTAGCTGGGAATGGTGGCTCATGCCTGTAATCCCAGCTACTGGGGAAGCTGAGGCAGGAGGTTTTGCAGCAAGCCGAGATCACGCCACTGCACTCCAGCCTGGGAGACACAGAGAGACTCTATCTGAAAAATTTAAAAAAAAAAAAAAAGAGTAATGAAAAGTGGATGGTATGTGCATATGTGCATTAGCACAATACCTGATGCATAGCAAGCATTCAGTAAATAGTACCTGGTACTATAAATTATTATTAAGGACCATAAAACAACTTCTATAAAGGAATAACACGGCCATCTGACAACCTTATTAGCATTCCTGCATCTTACCCATCCCATCATGAATGGTAAACAGCATGAGAATGCCAAAATTTATTTAATGACTATATTGAGCAACTCCTAGGTGATGGGGGAAAAGAGTGAAGGATACAACTTCTCCCTAAAAAGGAGCTCATGTTGGTAGGGGAAGACACAACAAAAAAGAAGGGGAGGAAGAGAAAGTACTGAAAGGGGTCTCAGTATGGAACTACTACCCAGCTTAAGTGTTCCACTGTGAAGGGGCTGGGTTTAGATCTATCTCAGCCGTCAGGGTCATGTTGAATAGATCTGTTAGGGTCATGGGGCAGGAAAATGTCAGAAAGCAAGGCCCATTCTGGAATTCTATACACTAAGAATGAGGGGAGGGGACAGTGAAAATGCACAGTGAGAGAAGGATTTTTATCTTTTCTCTTCACATTATGCTAGGCAAAAATTATAGCAGGCATAGAGTTGACAACCATGATCAAACATTTTCAGGCAGGAACTACAAGATGACTGCTTGTTAGGTTAGTGTAGCAGCACATATTTATTTTTTAGCAAATAGACATGGGGCTCTCAAGGAATTATAATCACGTAGTCATGAAGATACTCACTGGACACAGTGCACTGCACGGGAGGCTGGGAGAAGGGGAGGCCAGAAGGGGCTGGGTTCTGTAAGTCAGTGGCGTGCAAACTCACAAACCAGTGCTCTTGCTCTTTCCTATAAATTTTCATCATCACAATCGCAATCTGTCAAACTCTCAAATACACCTTAAAGCCTGCACTGCTGATGGAGTACAGCAGGGCTTGGCCACTCCTTGGTCATGACAGTACATGTTCTTCAGGAAACAGCTCTGCACTGGGAAAAAAGCACTCCACTGAGAATGAAGGCTCAATATCACAGACTCAGCTTTGCCACTAGCAAGAGCTATAAGAAAATAAGACTATGGATTTGGTAAGTCATCTAACTTCTCTGGAACTCAGTTTCCCCAAATGTAAAACGGGGGTGATATGATTAAATGTAGCGCTGACATTCAATGGCTCAGGAACTGAGGGCCAAGCTGATGTCCTCTACCCAGAGTTCTTGTTTCAGTGTTAGGGCTGACATGCCAAAGGGCCAGGGTATCAAGACAAATGATTACAATTCACTCTCTAAACTAAACTGAAAGTTCTGGCAAAGTAGAAAGCCATCCACAACATTTCTGGTGTACAAATTAAAAAGACTTACATCCTGAGCCATACCACTCATTTTATGAAGGTATCTCTATTCCTTGGAGATTAAATCAAGAAAGTAATTAACAGGAATCAACAGAACAACAGTAAAGTCACCTGGCACCCAGAAGGGCACATTGTTTGCTTGCTAAAGGAGCCCTCCAAACTCTACAGCTGAGAAAGCATACAGGGGCCCTAGAGTCAGCATTCATTCCAAAAACACAGGAATGATGGTTGCTATTTCTGCTTAATAGATCAGGACCTCATAAATGGGTGTCATCTTCACTGGACGAATCATATAGTAAGAAATAATCTTACAAATGCCAGCACTCAACAAACTGGCAGCTCTTTAGAGAGGACTCTCTGGGGACCCAGAGCTGCAGTAACTGAGGGAAATGTATCCAGATTAGATCAGCAAAGGCCTCTCCAGTTCCCCATGAGGTATTGTAGGGGGCAATGGTGCTGGCCAACACACAAGATTTACACAATGAGCTCCCTGAATACTGCACGTGTTCGGGTCAAAAGAGCTGCCACTCTGCTACAAACAATTCATGAAGCAGCAGATGCCAACTGTCCTGTCACCTAGGCCTTTAGCTGCAATTCCTCAAGAAAGCCTGATAGCCTTGGTTTTCATAGTAGTCACCTATTCCTCCCATTTTAAATTAAGGAAAATAATCCTATTTATTGTCTCAGTCTCTTCACCTTTCTTTTCCCAACATAAAAACATGTTTTCCCACCATAAAAAAAAAATATTAAATAAGATGTGGTATATCCACATAATGAAGTATTATTTAGCAATTAAAAAATGAAGTACTGCTATAACATGGATTGTGCTAAGTGAAAACATTATGCTAAGTGAAAGAAGCCAGACACAAGGGACCACATATTCTATTGAGTCTATTTATATAAACTGTATACAGAATAGGCAAAATCTGTAGAAAAGTGGAGACCACTTGTTGCATAGGGCTGGGGAAGTAGTGGGCATAGAGGAATTAAGAAGTGATGATTGGCCAGGAGCAGTGGCTCACGCCTGTAATTCCAGCAGATTCAGAGGCTGAGGCGCGTGGATCACTTGAGGTCAGGAGTTCAAGGCCAGCCTGGCCAACATGGCGAAATGCCACCTCAACTAAAAATACGAAAATTAGGCAGGTGGCATGCGCCTGTAGTCCTAGCTACTTAGGTGGCTGAGGCAGGGGGATAGCTTGAACCTGGGAGGCGGAGGTTGCAGTGAGCCGAGATCATGCTACTGCACTCCAGCCTGGGCAACAGAGTGAGACTGTCTCAAAAAAAAAAAAAAGAAAAAGAAGTGATAACTACGGGGAATGGAGTTTCTTGTGGAATACTAAAAATGTCCTAAAACTGACTGTGGTGATGGTGATGGCTGAATGATTGTAAACATGCTAAAAGCCACACACTTTAAATGGGTGAACTGTACAGTATGTGAATTATATCTCAATAAAGCTGTTTTAAAGTGCCCTTGGAGAGTATATCACCTCCTTTGGGAAGGAAATTTTAATGAGGGAACTTTGATTCTTCTAGCCATCCCTTGTTTCCAAATGCCTGCCTGCTCCTTCCTATCAATGATTCACTTTGCTATTCCCATCCTCTGCTCACTGCACTATCTAGCTCAGGTTTACACCTTTCCTACGAAAACGACTGGGCTATTAGTTTTGTTTTGTTCTTCAAGTCCACCTCCACTCTAGTGGACTTTAGTGTCCTTTCTTACACACCTAGTCTCCTTCTGTCCCAGCTCACATAGTAAAACAATACATATACACAGAATAGTGGCTAAACACCTGCCACACCATGAAAAAAAGAATGAGGATAAACGACAGCATAAAAGCACAGGTTTGGGAGTTTTAACTAATTTGGTTCCAATCAAAGCATTTGGCCAAGTTACTTTAAATGTCACTGTCAGTTTCCACTGCTGTAAAATGGGGAAAACTAATGTATCTAATTGCATGTGGTTATTATAAAAATTAAATGATTAATATGATGCCTGGTCATGAAGGTCCTCAATAAATAATAACTGCTATTTATGGAAGTCTTATGCCCAGTTTTTCTCATGCTGTCATTCGGCAGCTCAGCCTCTATGTCAAAAAGCCAACAATAAAAGCAGGCTGTTGGTGCCATCAAATTGTTCACCATCAGTATTCCTATTTGTTCTAACCCATCTAACTCACAGATCCCAGTCTATTCCTGATACTTTGGCTTTTTTACTTCAATTTGTTTTCTTATTTCTGGGCTCACTTTAACCTCAAACATGTTTAGTATTGCCTTTCCAGTTCCATGTCCCCTTCTCAACCAAAATCTGCTTACTGCCTTAATTTTATACTTTAAGCCACTCTGGACAAATTGTTTACCCATAGTACCAAAGCACTCAGTATCCTATTCTTCCTAAAAGCATATCATGAAATCAAAACAAGACGGACTTTAGCAAGAATTATGATAAAAAAGCTTACAACCTTACAAGGGACTACTTGGCAGCCATGAAATGATGCAGCAGACATAGCTAATGGCATGAAACGATGTTTATAATAAAGTAGGCCTGAGCTGGAGGCATTTTACAAAAGTTTACACAATATGATTGACATCTGGTAAGGAATTTTAAAATGTGTATATATGCAAACAGAGTTACGCTGAAACAAGATAATCAACAACAAAACGTTAAGATAAAGTTAAATATATTAAGGCAGATTTTATTCTATTCTTTTGATCTGCTGTATATTCTAAATTTTCTTCAATGAATGCAAATTACTTTTGTTTTAAAAAAATATTTTAAGGACTTTTAAAAAAGAATTAATTTAAAGATTGCAACGCCTCTTAGCATTTTCTTACCAGCCACTATAGTATGGCTCAGGAGTCAGAAAAACCAGGGTTCAAATCCCTATTCTACCACTTATTCTATGTACGACTTTGGCAAATCACTTAATGCTTTTAAGGCTTGCTGTTCTCATGTGGAAAATGAAGAGGAAACTCCTAGCCAAGTACTTGGCACATAGTCTTCCATAAATACCAGTGCCCTTAACTCTTCCACTCCTTTACCCTATGACAGTGGTTCTCAAGTTGAGTGTGTATAAGAATTACCAAAGCATGTTAAAACAGATTACTGGACCCCATCCTCAGAGTTTCTGATTCAGTAAGTCTGGGGAAGAGGCAGAGACCATGAATAAAGGTAAGTTCCCAGGTGATGCTGATGCGGCTGGATTTGAAGCCACACTTTGAGGATACTGCTCTAGGCAATAAGACTTACAAAGTCTTCTTACAACATGTTATACAGGTATGAAGTGCTCTTTCACATCAAAAGTATTTCAGGAATACATGCTCACTGGATACTGAATTAAATTAGAAGCTAATACTGCACATCCACCCAAAAGGCCAACCTTACAACATGGGATAATTCACCCCAGCACATTGAGGGAATTGGTCTTCCACTTAAAGCAGTCAGCAAATAACAATTATTAACACTGCATTTAGAATATTCTGGTTCCAGCATGGGAGAAAACATGAGAATGCAGACACAGATCAGACAAATGAAGAGATGGACAAGAGAATCCACTGCAAGAAGTTCTGTGCCTGTCTGGTAAATTCATCTGGGGCAGAGGGGCAGATTCTGTTGTGTCACAGAACACTTGCTTTGCTCTGGGTGCCCTCTGTTGACAAAAACTGACATAGCCACTTCCTTCCCTCCCTTTTCTCCTCCCACCCTAGGGCCAAGAGTCCCACTAGTGTGACTCAGACTTGAGGCAAGGTTTCCAGTTAGAAAATTTTCCTAAGCCCATATGTAGGCAAGACAGACCTTTCCTTCCTCCAGCTTTCCTAAGTCCCCTTCTCTGTGTGCTTGTATCTGCAGCTTATCTCCAAACAGGTTAATTGTTTCAGGACCATGGAACAAAAAGTGAACAGCATTTAGCATAATGATATGTGAAATTTAAATCACAATTGCATTTCATTTTAGAAATGGCTAGTATTCACACAGAGGGAATAAACTGAGTTTGTAAATAGTGTCAAATACAATGTGAAACTCTGTTGGTATTAAGAATACTGATAAGGCCGGGCATGGTGGCTCATGCCTGTAATCCCAGCACTTTGGGAGGCCATCGCGGGCAGATCACGAGGTCAGGAGTTCGAGGCCAGCCTGACCAACATAGTGAAACCCCATCTCTACTAAAAATACAAAAATTAGCCGGGCATGGTGGCTAATTTTCCAGCTAGTCAGAAGGCTGAGGCAGAAGAATTGCTTGAACCTGGGAGGCAGAGGTTGCAGTCAGCCAAGATTGCGCCACTGCACTCCAGACTGGGTGACAGAGCTAGACTCCATTTCAAAAAAAAAAAAAACTAGACATGTCTAAATCAGGACTTTGGTCTATGGGCTACTTGTTTTTGTAGAACCCACACACAGACTACCAGCTAAGATAGCTTTTACATCTTGTAATGATTGAAAGAAAAAATCAAAAGAAAAATGACATTTCATGACATATAAAAATTATATGAAATTAAAATTTCGGTACCCACAAATAAAGTTTTACTAGAATAGAGCCACAATCTTTTGTTTACTATAATCTAAGCCTGCTTCCCTGCTACCGTGCCAGAGTTCCTGAGTAGCTCTAACAGAGACCATATGGCCCAGATGCTCTCAGATGCTTTACAGAAAGTTTGCCCCCTCCTGTTTTAAACTATTGATAAATGTGACACCTGAACCTTCAGTCAGGTATGAAGTGCTGGGTTTGAAGTCCTATGGCTCTGTCTTAGCAATGACTTCCCCCAACATTTAGTGTGAGTCCTGCACGTGGTGAGGGGTCAGCCTACACTGCCTAACACACTCCCCTTGCATCCACAGAAGCTGAAGGTACTGTGATAGATTTCTGGCATGTTTTTTGGCTAATACTTATCAGCAATCCTATAAAAGCATCCCATCTTACAAATGAGGAAGTAAGCCTAAGGGAAGTTAAGTATCAGTCCAAACTGGAATTTGAACTCAGGTCTGTCTGACACCAGAGTTCTTTGATCATTCCTCACTGGTTTTCAAACTGTCTTCCAGTCAGCAGAGCCTTATGGGGGAAAGGGCTCCAGGCCTTTCATATCTTTTTTTTCTTTTTTCTTTTTCCTTTTATTTCCCCAACTTCTTACACTTCCATATTGTTTTAGAGATAGGGTCTTTTGTCGCCCAGGCTGGAGTGCACTGGCACAGTCAGCTCACTGAAGCCTCGAACTCCTAGGTTCAGGCCATCCTCTTGCCTCAGCCTCTAGAGTAGCTGAGACTACAGGTGCACACCACCACATCTGGCTAACTTCCAAATCTTTTCTAGGAGGACCATTCCATTTGCCTTTTTAATAAATTGTGGCCAAGGAATTGGTTTTTTTTAAAAAGCCAATTTTATGCCACTTATTACCACCCTTGGCAAATCTCTCAGGAAACTGCAAATCTTGATTTCCTCATCTGCCAATGGAGATTAAAACCCTTCCCCCCCACCCAAATAATAAAGACTCACTGGGGTCTTACCAAAGATCAAATGAGAATGGGTATGAAAGCAATACCCATTACAGGTATTACAGCAATACCTGTAAACTATACAGGACTATAGATACATAACACATAACTATCACCCCTTAGTAAATAGGGAAGCAAGTGGGAAGCAAGTGGGGAACATAATGTTTGCTGCTGAGCAAAGAAAAATTAAGCATGCAAGTAAAATGCAAAAAAAAAAAAATTCAAATAAAAGTAAATAAATGCCCAGTGCAAATATCAACCCTGGAATTTAACACATTTATTTTAAAACCCAGATTCACTCATTAACAACTACATAGCCTTGGACAATGACTTAATCCCTTTGAGCCTTGGTTTCCTCACCTGCAAATGGGATTTAAAAACTACTTGCTTTATACAGTGCCTGCACATAGTCAGTATTCCACCTGTTAGCCCTCTTTTCATTAGGACACCCCCTGTCCCATGCCGAGACGTGTGTTACTCTGAAATTAAGATAATGTATGGGTTCCCTGTACCAATAATAGAATACCAGAATTAAAGAGCTAAAAGTATCTTTATCTTAAACGATCCTGTGATCCACACGACACCACAAAGCTTGTGAGAGCACAGGCTAAAGACACACTAAGGGAACAAAGATCCTAATGTAGTAATAGGAGATACATGGGAAAAGTTCTACTAATTCAATAAGTATATTTATTGAGTGTCTTAAGAGCCTTCTATGGCTCCATAAAATGACAGATTTACATTTAATATCCACTTGACCAAACCCATTAAACTTGTAAGAGGCACTCTCTTGCTGAACATCAGATATCTAGCTTCTTAAGTATTAATTTTTCATATCGCTCTGGCAAGGCAAAGGCAATAAAAACCTAGTGAAAGTCTGACCACAGTTTTGCTTTTTCCCCCACTTTGTCCATAAGAGAAAATCCAAATGGAGTAGTCTCTGTATTTCAACAAGCTGAAGTTGAGTTTATTTAATTTATCCCGTTACCACACTTTACCAAATTCATATTGGGCACATACTTTGTGCAAAGTATTCAAGAAAACTAAGAAGCATGAGAGAACTCTTGTTCTTACAGAATTCTGTGTGTTGGTCAAACCTTTTCACCATAATGCAATAGGCAGTGATAAAGTACTATTACAAAGTAGGAGGCTGGGCTGGGCATGGTGGCTCACGCCTGTAATCCCAGCACTCTGGGAAGCCGAGGTGGGCGGATCACTTGAGGTCAGGAGTTCAAGACCAACTCGAACTGGCCAACATGGTGAAACCCCATCTCTACTAAAATAAATATATATATATATAAAAGTTAGCCAGACGTGGTGGCGCATACTTGTAATCTCAGCTACTCGGGAGGCTGAGACAGGAGAATCACTTGAACTCAGGAGGCAGAGGTTGCAGTGAGCCGAGATCCAGCCGCTACAATCCAGCCTGGGCAACAGAGCAAGACTTTATCTCAAAAAATAAAAATAAAAAATAAAAAAATTTAAAAAAAAAGTAGAAGGCCGGGTGCAGTGGCTCACACCTGTAATCCCAACACTTTGGGAGCCTGAGGCAAGAGGATTGCTTGAGCTCAGGAATTCAAAACCAGCCTGGGCAACATAGCAAGACGCTGTCTTTACTAAAAATAAAACATTAAAAAATTAGCTAGGCGTGGTAGCACATGCATGCCTGTAGTTCCAGCTACTTGGGAGGCTGAGGTGGGAGGATCACTTACTTGAGCCCAGGAGTTCGAGGCTCCGCCACTGCACTCCAGCCTGAGGGACAGAGAGAGATCCTGTCTCCAAAAAAAACACAAAAAGCAAAGTAGAAAGCATGTGCCCTGGGACACTGAGTCAGCTCGCAAATAAATGCACTAGCCAAAACCTCAAGGAGAAGGTAGCATTTGAAGTGAGATTTAAAGGACGACCTGTATTTAAACATGGGACATGGGAAATAGTGTAAGTAAAGGAATTAGAATTCAAACCCACATTTAATTCCAAAGCTACGCTACCCCACCCCACAGTGTGGCTTGAACAGAGTACCTTACACAAAACAGAAGGAAAAAGACTGAGGCCATATCACAGAAGGCTTAGGATATCACACTAAAGAATATTCAGCAGATAAAAGCTAAGCAGAGTAATGAGACTCCAGTGAGATCAGAGCTGTTTAAATGCATGATTACATAGTACTTGCTGAGAGTATTTTCTGGTGGTACCAAAGTTTCTAACACAAGATCTTAAGTTACCTGTTGTATTCCCCTGTCTCTCTAATCAACCCTAGATGAGATCAGTATAATAGTATGCAGCTAATGCTATTAAGAAAATTAAAATATTTAATCTGTAACTGAAACCCGTAACTATATTGTCCACCAACTATGAGGCCTTTTGTCTTACCTTATACTTAATTAGTTGGTTTCATTCTAAATCATCTGCCAGTGACTGTCTGTTGAAGAACAAAGCACTGAATAAATATGTCAAGCTTCTTAAATGTAACTCACAAAATGGTAGCCAGAATTGATTATAAAAGACCATCGATTGCTTGGTAGTACTAACCGCTACAGCAAGAATATCCCTACTAACTACTTAGCTGCCCTAACCAAGTCTAGTCAGATGAATTTCTCGATTTTGAAAATTGCTAATGGAAATTCTATAATTTTCCTTTGTAAATGGCCCTATCTTTAGTCAGATAATTCTTTTTGATGGTCACATTAAACCTCTCATTACAATACAAATCAATTGCCTATATACAAAATAACAGGTCAATCTATTGAAAAGTCAATCAGTGAAATTATGATCCATCCATTAACAAAATATTTAAGCAACTGGGTCATGAGTGGACTAACAATCACAGCTCAACAATCCCAGCAACCCTAAACTAAGCAAAAAGAGGCAAAGCTAGGGGGAAAAGTCAAACTGCGGCATAAAAGGCAAGATGTGACAAACCAGGTACAGAAGAGCGATGAGAATAAAAGCCAGCCATATTTTTAATACTTCTGGCATCATTCATCTATCCACAGATCCACAGTAGCCCTGAAGGATTTAGGAGGTGAGAGAACGCTCAAAGTATGACACTCCCAGGACCCACAAAAACCAAACCCATTACCACCAAAGAGTCCTTAAAGCAAAAAGAAGAAACTTGGGCCCAGAGATGAGAAGATGAGAAGAGACTTTCTGGGTTACCTGGAAAGCCAAAGGCAGAGTTTAGTGCAACCTATTTTCACAACATCAGGCAATAAGTCACTCTTGACCTAGGACATTTTTAAGACTTTAATCCTTTCAAACATCCTATGGTATCCTCACATTCACAGAAAGCTGAGTCTTGAGAGAAGTTAAGTGATTTCCTCCTAGTCCTCGCAGTATTTCCCAAACTCTCTTGGATCCAAACTTTATGGAAATGTTCATACAGACATGTTAAACGATTTGAAACAATCAGAGGCAATAAGGAAAAATTTCATAAGGGAGATTAAGTTGTGAACAAGGATCTTAATGGATACTTAGGATTCTGCTGGTAAAGGAGAAACATTTCAAACGAAAGGCATTAGGAAGAAATAAATGCCCAAGATAGATATTTGAAGGACAGTGAAGAGACATATATAAAGCAGAAGAAAGGCCGGGCACAGTGGCTCACGCCTATAATCCCAGCCCTTTGGGAGGCCAAGTCAGGTGGATCACCTGAGGTTGGGAGTTCGAGACCAGCCTGACCAAAATGGAGAAATCCTGTCTCTACTAAAAATACAAAATTAGCTGGGTGTGGTGGCACATGCCTGTAATCCCAGCTACTCAGGAGGCTGAGGCAGGAGAATTGCTTGAACCTGGGAGGTGGAGGTTGCGGTGAGCCAAGATCGCACCATTGCACTCCAGCCGGGGCAACAAGAGTGAAACTCCGTCTCAAAAAAAAAAAAAAAAAAAAAAGCAGAAGAAATATGTTACTAGGGTAGTAATGAGAAACAGAGCTGGAAAAATGGGAAGCAAATTGTAGCGAGCCTTGAATGTCTGGCTCAGTTTTTACAAAATTCTGCTCAAGTTATAAAGTCCCAAAAATGACTCCCTCTTATACGCATGCTGCCAAGACCCAAGAGTCAGGTAAATAAACTTACACAGATTTCATTTCCTTCACAAAGACCTCTTTTTCTTGGAGATGTCCAACAGCTAGATTCCTGAGCTAGAAATTTCAAATCTACAGATAATTCATTTCAAATAGTGAATAAGAATCAAAAGGAAAATGAGAAAATAGACTTAAATCAGAATGTGAGAACTAATCATTCCCTTGTAAAGCTTCCTTATGGCCTCTTTTCCATAAAATAAATGAGAAAAATGACTTACTAGCCCTATTTACATGCCAAGAAATTTACATATGTTATCTCTAATACTGTAACAACCTTTCATAATAGGAATTATTCCTATTTCACAGATGAAGAAATTGAGGCTCAGAGAACAAAAACTTGCCTAAAGTCATTTAGCCTGCAACAGCAGGATTGATATTTAAACCTAAAGCCAAGGAGGGTGTGTGCATATGTGTGTGTGTCTGTGTCTGTTGGGGGGGCAGGGGTGTCTGTCTGTCTGTCTGCAGAGAAATTGCCACAAAACAGCTTTATATAGAAGCTACAGTTTAAAAAAATAAAAGCCAATGAACCTAGCTGATCCTCACTCTGCCATATACCTTAGGACATGCAGAAAGCAGCACAATTTCTCTTCATCACATGAAGAGCTTTCCTGCCCAAACATGCTTGCCACCAAGCATCGGGAGAAGGCTGTAGCCAAGCACGAAGCCACTACAAACCTGCAAATCTTCTTTGAAGGAACCACCAGGCCTCAGCAGAGAGGCAAATGCCTGTTTTCATAGTTGCTTTCATAAAATAGTTATTCAGAATTTATGCAAACTTAGCAAATATGGATGAAAACAATTCTGTTTTCTTTTATTGGAGAAGGACGAAGATACATATTACAAAACCTCATAACTGAGAACAAATATTTGCAAATTGTAAATCTGACAAAGAACTTGTACCCAGAATATATAAAGACTTCTTACAACTCAATAAGAAGAAAAACCAAATAAAAAGTGGGCAAAAGACCTGAATAGACATCTCACCAAAGCAAACATAAGTGGCTGATAAGCACATGAAAAGGTACCTACTTAATTATTAGGGAAATGCAAATTAAACCACAATGAGCTATTACCATACACTCATTATAACAAAAAGTTAGATAAAACCAAGCCACTTTGGAAAACAGTCTGTGGTTTCTTTAAAAGTTATGCATGAGGCCACGTTGTCTCAAGCTGGTAATACCAGCTACTCAGGGAGGCTGAGACAGGAGGATCACTTGAGGCAGGAGTTCAAAGCTAAATTGAACTATGATTGCACCACCACACTCCAGCATTGGCGACCTCATTTCTCTTTTATTATGATTATTATTATTTTATTTTATTTATTTTATTTTTGTATTTCTAGTAGAGATGGGGTTTAACTGGGTTAACCAGGCTGGTCTCAAACTCCTGACCTCAAGTGATCCACCCACCTCAGCCTCCCAAAGTGCTGGGATTACAGGCATGAGCCACCACACTGGCTTATTTCTCTTAAAAAGAAGAAATTATACATGAGTTTACCATTGCCTCAGTAATTCCACTCCTAGAAATCTACCCAAGAGAAATTAAAGTATGTCAACACACAGATTTGCAGGTAATTCTTCATATCAGCACTATTCATAATAGCCAAGTTGGAAACAATACAAATATCTACCAACTGGTAAACAAATAAACAAAAGGTGATACATCACTATAATGAAATATTATTTAGCAAAAAAAAATAAAAAATGACACAGTGATACATACTACAACCTGGATGAACCTCAAAAACATTATACTAATTGTAAGAAATCTCATGCCAAAGACTACATATATCATATAATTCCATTTATATAAAATGTCCAAAAGCGACCATTTTTTTTGTTTTTTTTGAGACATGGTCTCGCTGTGTTGCCCACGCTGGTCTTGAACTCCTGGGCTCAAAGGATCCTCCTGCCTCGGCCTCCCAAAGTACTGGTATACAGGCATGAGCTACCGTGTCCAGCACAAAAGAGGCAATTTTATAAAGTCAGAAAGCAGAGCAGTGGTTGGCTGGGGGAGAGAGGGAGGACTGGAGAGGGAGCAGGGAATGACTGCAAAAGAATTTGAAAGAATTTGGGGAATGAGGGAAATGTACTAAAGCTGGACTGTGACACAACTCTATACGTTTACTAAATATCACTGAACAAGTCACTTACATTGAGTAAATTTTAGGTATAGAAATGACATCTTAATAGAACTTTTTTTTTTTTTTTTTTTTTTGAGACGGAGTCTCACTCTGTCGCCCAGGCTCGAGTGCAGTGGCATAATCTCAGCTCACTGCAACCTCCGCCTCCTGGGTTCAAGCGATTCTCGTGCCTCAGCTCCCAAGTAGCTGGGATTACAGGCACCCGCCACCATGCCCCACTAATTTTTGTATTTTTAGTAGAGATAGGGTTTCCCCATGTTGGCCAGGCTGGTTTCGAGCTCCAGACCTCAGGTGATTCCCCCGCCGCAGTCTCCCAAAGTGCTGGGATTACAGGCGTGAGCCACTGCGCTGGCCATAGAGCTTTTTAAAAAGCAACAGCCAAATACATATTTATATTTATTTTCTCTACATAGTAACTCCAAGGGAAACAAATATGTAAGACAGGCAAAGTAATAATATTTTGTTTGGATATAAAATAAATAGTCATAATAATTATTATATATTCACAAATCAATAAATATTGATTTGACCCAAAAAATGGCTTTATTAGAAGGAAAGAGGTCTATAAAACTGCTAATTTCTGGGCAGGCGCAGTGGCTCATACCTGTAATCCCAGCACTTTGGGAGGCTGAAGCAGGCGGATCACTTGAGGTCAGGAGTTCGAGATCAGCCTGGCCAACACAGAGGAACCCCATCTCTACTAAAAATATAAAAAGTAGTCGGGTTTGGTGGTGTGCGCCTGTAATGCCAGCTACAGGGGAGGATGAGGCACAAGAATCACTTGTACCCAGGAGGCGGAGGTTGCAGTAAGCCAAGATGACACACCTGCACTCCTGCCTGGGCAACACAACAAGACCTTGTCTCAAAAAATAAAAATAAAATAAAATAAAATTGCTAATTTCTCATCTTCAACAGTAGGAAGCCAAAGAATAGTGCCAAAATTTGGACAAATCATGAAACAGCAGAATAAGCATATTACTTAGCATGGCAGTGAGCAGCAGAAGAAATAAAACAGTCTTTCCTGGAGTGAAAAGATTTTTAACTGTTTGAAGAATGAAATGATCTAAAATGTAATAGTAAAGCTGATTACATGGATTGAGAAAAGTGCTACAAGAACACTAGACACTACAGCATATACCAGACCTTCATCCACTAGAGGGTGTAAGGACAACACCACAGAAGGACCTAAACTATTGATGGGTGACCTGAGGTCAGATGTTGGACAGAAGCAACAGTTTGAAAAAGCTTTGCACAAAGGCTGAAAGTGGGGTTCTAGACAACCTAACAGGGGGGAAAAAAAGCAATTTCACACTTCCTGTAATTTAAGAGCAAAGCAAAAGCATGTTTAGTTAAAAAAAAAAAAAAAAAGAGGATCAGAAAGAAAATTATTATAGATTGCGAGATACAGAAGGGGTAACGTTTTACTTCTGAACCATTTTAATTCAGTCTCCAGCTGGGGGGCCTTAGAGCTTGGGTGGAGAGATGGAAAGTAGGGGAGTGACTGCTAAAAGGTATGGGGTTTCTTGTGTCCCGGCATGGAAGCTTACGGCTGTAATCCCAGCACTTTGGGAGGTTGAGGCGGGTGGAACGCATGAACTCAGGAGTTCAAGACCAACCTGGGCAACATGGTGAAACCCCATCTCTACCAAAAATACAAAAACTAGCTGGGCATGGAGGTGCACACCTGCGGTCCCAGCTACTCAGGAGGCTGAGGTAGGAGGACCACTTGAGCCTGGGAGGTGGAGGTTGCAATGAGCAGAGATCATGCCACTGCACTCCAGCCTAGGTGACAAAGTGAGACTCCATCTCAAAAAAATAAAGGCATGAGGTTTCTTTAAGGTTGCATTTTTAAGGAATGTAAGTATTAGAACAATGTTTTTCAAACAGGTTGCAATCCATTAGTGGGTCCAGGAAAAATCCAGCAGAAATCAATTTTGGTCAATCGTTAGTCACAATCGACAATTTTTTGAAGGGGACAGAAAATATCACAGTACTTAGAACATGGTTAAGATAGGCAGCATTTGGTAAGACTAATTCTAAGTTATAGTCAACATATATGTATGTGTGTATACTGGGTCATGACATAAAAGCAACTGCCTCCTTGGGGTCAGTCTTTTTTTAAGCTCAAAAGCACTAAGCTAGAACCTGAACACACTTACCATGTCCTCCATTCCACCAACTATCCCCGAGGGAAGAAAAGTAGTCATCATTTCTTCAATCAAGCCAAATGAGCACTACAGAAGATATATTTGCTGTTGTCCACAGCTCCCAATAAAAAAAAAGCCTTGAAAGTTCATTGCAAAAATTTGACTAAAATAAAGTTCATTTTCTACCCATGAAAAAACTGGTTAGAAAAAAGAAAAAAAAAATCTTGAGGAAAGAAAATACTTGTTAAGAAAAGAAACCCTTAGGTCATTTTAAATTTACCCTCTTATTAAAAGTAAGGCTGCCACTCTGAATTTAAATCTATAATTGTCTATGTTATATTTGTCAACTTAAGCATCTCCTTTGATGTTCCCACTTGTTTCTGCTAATCAATGGGACATTGTGTCTTTCAACAGAATTTTAGAAAATTGAAGAAAAAAATATAGTTTTGAGAAGTCATTGACAAGCATTTTAAACATCAAAGAATGGGCCCCGCGTGGTGGTTCACATCTGTAATTCCAGCACTTTGGGAGGCTGAGGTGAGCAGATCACCTGAGGTCAGAAGTTTGAGATCAGCCTGGCCAACATGGCAAAACACTGTCTCTACTAAAAATACAAAAATTAGCCAGGCTTAGTGTCGCATGTCTGTAATCCCAGCTACTCAGGAGGCTGAGGCAGAAGAATCACTTGAACCCGGGAGGCAAATGTTGCAGTGAGCCAAGATTGCGCCACTTCATTCCAGCCTGGGCAACAGAGTCTCAAAAAAATTGACAACATGACATTTTTCTTTGTATTTAAAATATGAAAAGATAAAATTTAGATCATAAGTTATTTTAACAAACAAGATAGAAAACTTGACAGAAATAAGTTACTCAAGAACTTTCAAGTCATATGAAGACTTCATGCTCCCACATTCTCCAAAGATTCCAGAATATCTTATCTTGTCACACCAGCAAAAGAACACTTATATTCAGAGAGACACTGACAGACAAATACAAAAGGGAAATACAAGACATGGAGGCTGAAAATCGGGGTTCAAGTCCAATTCTTTACTTACTACCTATATAACTAAGACTGGGAGATTCATTTGACAGTCTCTGTGCTTTGGTATTCTTTTATCTATAAAATTGGGATAATAAAGCCCAAGCCACCTAGCTGAACTATTGTGAAGATCAAAAGTGGATATACACAGGAGGGTTTTGTAAACTGTAAAGCAGTTAGCAGATATTAGTTGGGTTTTTTGTGTACCACAAATATATACATTTGTATTCATCAATTAATAAACAAAATAGTACACTACAGCTTAAATAATTTTTAATGATGAAATAATGAAAGCTTTCAACACTTAGTTTTGCAAGTATCCCACTGCTGAACATCCCTTACTTGGTTAGGCCACCCCAATGAAGCAAAACAAATTATCTCTAGTTTGTGTGTATCTGTTCTAATCCTCTTCCCTACCCATCCCCCAAACCGAGTTGACTCTAAAACAATAGAACAAAATTTAGTCAAGTAACCACTAAGGAGATACAAAATTGATGAAACAAAAGTAAGTCTTCCCTGTGGTTGATTAAAGTATAAGCCTCTTTTAATCAATTAACTTGTTAAATTAACTAATGTTCTCCAGTTCCCAAGTCTAATAAAGGGACGCTTTTAACAGTCTTAAACCACCTAAAACTAGTAAACAACTCTCTCCTATTTGCCCCCAAGCCCTTTCTTCTCCCAGTAGCTGAGTTGTATGCTTACCAAAAATCACTTGTGTTTATTCACCTGCCAGTTTATAGAAGTCGTAAGTTCTTATAATTATATAATTAAATGTTATATATATATATATATATATATATATACACACATCAATGAAATAAATTAGAAAATTTCCTTGAAAATAACTAATGTGAATGCTTTGTGAAAAATAAGTCAAGACACTGAAAACTTAGGCTCAAATTAGATGTGGGCAGGATAACTGTAAAAGACCGGGCAAGAAGGGAAAACCATACAAATCTAGATAGACAGTTTCACCCAAATTGCTCTGAATGTCATCAAGACCGTGTTCCTCTTTAAAAAAAAAAACAAATTAGAACTCACAGATGATGCTCTGGGAGCACAGTTTATGCAAAAAATTCAAGTAGTATTTCAATCACATCTATATATAAGGATCTTGACCTCATATCAGGAAACTAAAGAGTAAGCATATATTTGTTTAAATTAAAAATGCTCTATATTAAAATAAAAGTTTAAAATATTTCCCCACTTCAACCAATTGTTTAGATTAACCCACGGCCTACTAGTTCTGATCACTTTGGTTAAGAAAACACTGACTGTATTTCTTCAATTAGAGAAGGATGGCCATACATCCCAGTTTACCTGGGACTGTTTGAAACTAATTATTGGCATCACTTTTTATTCTCAAAAGTGCCCCAACTTGAATGCTAAAGTTTATATGGTCACCTTATTTATAACAGACATAAAGTTGTTGCACCAAAAGCGAGCGAGGGGCCAGCCTTAGGAGCCTTAGGACCCCCATCACTTTCTAGGAAACCCCTAAGAGCCATCCCATATAAATAATCTTCGCAAAAACAGTAAGGCTGCTGTGCAGAACAAGGCCCTCTTCTAATCAGATTGCTGCTCTTAAGCTCTTCTTATATAAAAACCCTAGAGCTGATGCACATAAGTATTCTCCCACTTTAAAAATACTGCAAATCCATAAAACATTCTAGCCTTAATCAAGGCCTGGGAACACGCCTAAGCACATGCACAAATCACAAACAGTCAACTAGGAATCTAAACCACTACATTGTATCATCAATCTAAAATCCTGCCTGGGTTTATTTATTCATTTATTTTTGAGACAGGGTCTTGTTCTGTCACCCAGGCTGGAGCGCAGTGGCACAATCATAGCTCACCACAGCCTCAATCTCCCAGGTTCCAGCAATCCTCCCACCTCAGCCTCCCGAGTAGCTGGGACTACAGGCACACACCACTACACCCGGCTGATTTTTTTTATTTTTAGTAGAGACAAGGTCTTGCTATGTTGCCCAGGCTGGTCTCCAACTCCTGAGCTCAAACAATCCTCCTGCCTTGGCCTCCCAAAGTGCTGGGATTATAGATGTAAGCCACTGCACTTGGTCCTGCATGGCCTTAGATAAAATTTCTCACTTTTCTGAACTAGTTTTCACTTATGTAAAACTGGAACAATGTTTGTCTCCTCCACTTCCATAGAGAAACCACATTAGAAAGTATAGTGAAATGCTCAGAGTGCTTTATAAAAGCAATGGATTGTCATCCCATAAAGCTTCTTAATAGATCAAGAAAGAAGGCTGAGGTGACCTTGCATAAACATGCAAGAGGTGGCGGGTGGTTTTCCCTGCTCCTTTCCTTCAGGTGTTTAACTCCAATGTGCTATTGGGACTGTATATAACATGACAAAAGAATCACTAAAAAAGTGAAATGCTGGTGGTACACTTGGTGCTAACAAACTTAGTAGTAATAATCTTTAATCAGGAGTCACAGACTTCTACATCTGTGGTTGAGCTTGAAGAAGTCTACGAAGCCCCCACATGGTAAATAAAATAATGTAAATGAGTGAATGGGCACATTCACACGTGACCACATTTTCCTATGGTCAATCAATAATTCTCCAGTACAGAGAAAAGGACCCTCAGACAGAAGGGGAAATTTCAGCTCTTATTTAGCTACTTACTTGAATTGTTGCCTTGGATAAGTCACTTTACCTCTGTGTGCTTCAATTTCCTCATCTTTCCAGAGGGAATATTTGCCTCATCTACTTCAAAAGGGGTGTTTGGGAGAATAAGATGAGAAAATACAATGAAAGTGGTCCAAAACAATCAAAAGAGTTATCTCTTTTTAAATCACCATTCAGCCACTGATAAGAATCTTGTCTGCAGATGGTTCTCATCTATTTAGGAAGGAACAGTGAAAGAATAAGGAAAGCAAACAGGCCGGGTGTGGTGGCACACACCTGTGGTCCCAGCTACTCAGGAGGCTGAGGTGGGAGAATCACTTGCACCCCAGGGGTCAAGGCTGCAGTGAGCCATGTTCATGCCACTGCACTCCAGTATGGGTGACAGAGCAAGACCCTGTCTCAAAAACCAAACCAAACCAACAACAACAAAAAAAAAAAAAAAAAAAAGGGAAAGCAAACAAAAGCACAATTAAAATTCACCTTCACCCCATTCCCCAGTTCCTCGATTTGCTGAGCCAAAACCATGCTGAGGAGACGTAAAGATCACAAGTTCCATTTCCGCCAGCTCAGACTGTTCAGCGACCAGTGTTTCACGCTGATAAATGCCTCCCAAATCTCAAAACGCAAAGTGAGAGTTCACAAGGTTAGGCGCATTAATTAGCAGTACTCATTTGGATTCTGTATTCATCAAATACAACAAGCAGCTATTCAATATTTGCCTATTTGCACACTCTAAGATCTCTAATTCAAAGATCCAACCAGAGTACAAATTAAAGCCCAAGAAAATAAACTAAAATAAACCTGTCACCATCAGAATGTGCCTCAAAGTAAATCAGCAGCTTTAAACCATGGCAAAGGGTCTGTAACAGGCCTGCAGCAGAGACAGCATGAGTAATGAATGTGCAGGTTACAGAAGTGGGCCCCTACTGCAAAAGAAAGAAAAAGTAGGTACAATCAAAGAGACTACTTTTTTAGGCTTTAATAAATTCCTATTAACTCCTTTTGCTTAGCTCCTTATTGATCTATAATCCCCACAAGAAGAATACAGTACCCTTTCAGTCTTCTAAACTCAGTAAGTCTATTTCCATACTTTACATCAATTAGCTTTACCTTCCTAAATCCACAATAAGCAACATTTTATAAATAATAAAGTAACTGCATTAGTTTGCAAGACTAGATTAAGAGACTAACCACGACCCCTTTATTACATGTCCTAAGTGAAAAGTACAGGATGAAACAGAAACTGTCACTGCTTTTAAAGCAGCCCATAGGACTGTAGTTCTCAACCGCACTACACAGCAGAATCACCTTTGGGATTTTTAAACATTTGAATGGGTAAGCCCAATCTTACACTTACCCAATCAGAAACTCCGTGGGGTGGATCTCCAGGTATGAGAATGTTTTTCTGATATATGACTAAGATATAAAAGTACTATCAAAGGCATAAGTTTCCCAGCTTAGAGAAGCTCTAGGACAGACACAAACCAGAATGAAAAACAAATAAATCTTTACATTCTCTTTAGATTTAGGGTAAATGGCCCTATCTTTTACCAAAAGCTTCCATCTTCAATATCAACAGTGATGAACTCAGTAGGGGATGAACACAGAGCTAACAACACTTCTTCTCCCGATGCCTTATCTGGGGCCACTCTGATATCAACTCAGCACCAAAAGTGCAAGAATTGGACAAATACTCTCAAATCTGAAAGGCCTGCAAATAGGTGACTATTGATTATCAACCATCCTAGTTTTTGTTTTTTTGTAGTTGTTGTTTTTGTTTGTTTTATGTTTTGTTTTTGAGACAAAGTCTCGCTCTATCACTCAGGCTGGAATGCAATGGTGTAGTCTCAGCTCACTGCAACCTCTACCTCCCCAGTTCAAGCAATTCTCCTGCCTCAGCCTCCCGAGTAGCCAGGACTACAACTGCATACCATCACACCCAGCTAATTTTTGTATTTTTAGTAGAGCCGGGGTTTCACTATGTTGGCCAGGCTGGTCTCAAACTCCTGACCTCATGATCCACCCACCTTGGCCTCCCAAAGTACTGGGATTACAGGCATGAGCCACCGCACCCAGCCGACCATCCTAGTTTTTAAGATCCACTTCAGGAGCTCTGATGAGATTCAATGAACTTCTGGAAAGGACACTATGAACTCTTTCGTTTAGCACTGTAACTCATATCTCCTGGACAAGTATAACAATGGTAGCTTTTTTTGACAACCCTGTAAGGAATAATGGCATTCCAAGATATTTCTAGGAGCTACCCTTTCAAATCTCCTGAAGAACGTCAATATCCCCAAACATCAAAGATACAAATTTCTTTCAGAGGCGAGGTGATTTAAGCCACACCATTTCTCTAAGAGGAAGCCTTACCTGTTCTTCTATCCTAACTCTGTTTCAACGTCATGGGCTCAAGTATTCAAACAACAAAAAGATAGGGAAGGCATTTTACACACTTGCCTAAACCATACTGAGGGTGTCTCGTAGGAAGCAATTCTGCTCTGACCCATAATAGGGCCTGGGCTTTTCCAGTCATCCTCCCATCTAACAAAGAAAGGTGGCAGAAACTTTGCTTTCTCAGGCAAGCTTTCCCTGATTAAAACCATAAGGCTGAATTCCCCCAGGGAGGAGAATGGAATTTTCTTGCTACAGATCATTACAAGGACTCAAAAACTCTGTGCAGGCAGGGGCTAACTGGCAGGTAATAAAGAGACAAGTCCAGCATTCAGAATTATAAGGCATCAAGAAAACCAGGTCAAAAAATTATTATGTAGCCTGGAGAAGAAAATACAAAACCAATCATGACTGTGCTTGAGTGATTATTTTCTCTTCTAATATCCACAATTTTAATAACATAATACTTATAGAATTTAAAAATATGCTTAATTTACATCTGTAAAAGTAAATTCACTGCTGAAACAAGCCACATTTCCTTTCAAAGTAAGTAATTTCAGGAAATGCTCTCTATCATAGCAACCCTTTGATGAAACACACCACACACATACATCATCTGAGTTACAAACAGCAGATACCAACCTGGCTGTCCCGCGCTGGGAATCCATGATAACCTGGAGTCAGAGGCTCGTTCTATGAGAAAGACAAGAAAAATATCAAACCATGAGATGAAAGAAAATGTTAGGCATAATCAAAATCATCCAAACTGATCAAATATAAATTCCTGCCCTGGTTCCTAAAATGTTCCATTAACTGTATTCCACCCTACCTAAGTGTATATATCTCCTCGTTAAGCCTCTACACTGGCAAAAACAAAAAACAGTATTTGCTTAGGAGCACTATTCATAAAAACTATTTCTTCCTTATGCAGCTAAATCTGTTTCCTTTCCAGTATATCTTAGGCAGGGTGCTACTGCGACTGGGGTCAGAGTTAATTCCTAACTTCATCATACACTGTGGGACTTCAGCATCCCCAGCCCCAACTCACACTAAGCCGTTAGCACCCCTAAACACTAGGATAACCAAAAACTTGTTGGTTTATTTCCAAATGTCCCCTGGATGGAAAGGGGACAAGTACCAACCCTGCTGAGAACTGCCTCTTAACCCAGAAAAGTTTTAGGTCTTCGTCTCTATCAGCCTGTTTCCCCTCAGTTTTTACTTTTTTATTTATTTATTTTTTGTTTTATCCCCTCAGTTCTTTGAAATCTGGATGAAATCTGACCTCTGTTCAAGACTTCCTCTACTACTCTATATCATCCTATGGACTCAAGTGACTCCTCCTAATATTTAATATTTACTTAGCTTACTTGTGCAGCTTACTTTTTATGTTACTTATGATTCTAATTAACCTTATTTTTTAAAGGTATATCATGTTGAGTATCTGTCTCATTTTCACTTTAAACCACTAAGTCAAGATCCTTGAGGGCAAGGATGATAGCTAATAAAAGCCATGCAAACCCTAATTTAGTATAAGGTCATATAACATGAACACTCATTTCCAGCTTACTTGACCCATTCAATCATTCAGTTAATATATACTAATATTAATATTTTCCAAGCACTGTTAGTCGACTGATGGAGTAAAAAAAGATGAATTAAAAATAAGGCCCTTGCTTTCAAGGGAACTTTTAAATGAGGGAAGATGCACGTGCACACGAAGGAGTAAATGAGAACATACATTGCTTTTGTAATTTTCAAAGTGCTCAACATTGCTACTTAGATATTCATCCTCTTCTTCCATTCACTGTACTTTCATTCCTACTAGCAGAACAGCGTAAAAGAAATTTTCATTGATAGGACTTTTGAATATAACAATAGAGTAAACTTTCCACTAATTGGTAGGTTGACTATATTCAGATATTTGATAGTCAAAAGCATGGAAGTCTGAAGACAACTTAAGCTTACTGCAGAGACCCTGTGTCTTGTTCATCATGGTTTCCCTGAGATCTAGCACAGTATCTAACACATGTAGACACCCAAAAGAATGTGTAATAAATAAATGGAGCTAAATAACCAGAAAATGTGTAGGAATTCAGACAGTTCTGCAAAAGAGATGTGCAAATGGCCAGTAAGTACATGAAGAGATGCTCAACATCATAAGTCATTATGCAAATCAAAACCACATTGAGATAAAACTCACACTCATCAGAATGGTTATAAACAAAATGCCAGACAACAATAAGTATTGTCAAAGACATGGAGAAATCAGAATTCTTCTACACTGCGGGTGGGAATGTAAAATGGTATAGCTGCTCTGGAAACAGTTGGATAGTCCTTCTATTAAACATAGAGTTATATGACCCAGCAATTCCACACCTGGGTATGTAACTAAGAAAACTGAAAACATATGTCCACACAAAATAATATACATGAATGTTCATAGCAGCATTATTTCATAATAACCAAACAGCAGAAAAAAACCAAAATGTCCGTCGATTGATGAATGGATAAATGAAGTATGGTACATCCATAGTGGAATATTATTCAGTAATTTTAAAAATAAAGTACAGATACAACACAGATGAATACTGAAAACACCATGCTTGAAAACAGACACAAAAGGCCACAAATTATATAATTTGATTTGTATGAAATATCAAGAATAGGCAGATTATTCATAGAGGCAGAATATAAATTAGTGGTTCCAGGGACTAGCGGGAAGAAATGAGCAGTGACTGCTAACGGCTACCAGGTTTATCTGGAGGGAGATGACAATGTTCTGGAGTTAGATTTTAGTGATGGATGCACACATCCATTATTATATTAAAAACCACTGAAACACTAAAAGCACTTCATAAATGCGAGATTTATGGTCTGTGAATTATATCTCATTAAATCTGTTATTTAAAAATAATAATAGTTATAGGCAATGTTGGCTATTTTTCATACTGATTTTTATAGGGGAGACATGCAGTTTAGATTTTAACAAAAGAACAAGGCTCTTTCCGAAATGCACAAGTGCCTTTTGTTTGTTCTGGATTCTATAAATTTACTTCCACACACCATTCTCTACAAATTTTAACAATGATGATGATAACCCCCCAGTTATTAAGCACCTAATCAGTACAGTTCCAGGATGGTGGAAAAGAGGAAGAGATAGAGGCAAAAAGAATGAGATAATATAGCAGTATACAAAAATATATTTCCTATCACTGGGGAAACTAACTGAAAGAAGGTAAGTAACTGGCCCAATAACACATAGATATTGAATGGGAAATTCAAACTGCCAACCTGTGTCTGCTGGACTACAAACCCCTGTTCTTTCCATTTTTCCAGGTTCTCATCCCTACTAATGATTCCATATTATTCCCTTACAATAAACATTTCATGATTGTCTGAGAAGGGGATTATCTGATTAAGAAAGTAATCAAAAACCCCAAAAGCATATTAACAGAAATTCATCACTCCCAGAGGACATCCCACATATGAACCATATTCCATAAAATCCTGGAGTTCAACAATGAAAAAAATATAAGGAAAAGATCACATTCGTATAAGCCAGTATTGTCAAAAACTTCAATAGAAAAGTTGGTCATAACAGGTTGCACAGAGATGTGTCAGAGGAAATGGATTTACTCCTCCACCTGCCTTAGCACTCTTCTTTATTTCCTACCTCTCAGATAAGGCTATTTGGAACTCTCAAGCCCTCCCTGTATATATCTGTCTCTTACAAATGCATTAATTTTGCGTGATTTTGAATTTTACAGGCATGGATCCTATTGCAGGTATTCTTCAGTAATTTGGCATTTTTGCTCAATACTATGTAAGATTCACCTCCACTAGGGCACATAACTGTATTTTACTATGATTGCCATTTAGTATTCTCTTATAAACTATAAACATGTCAAATAAATTACTTATCTGTCCTATTTTCCTGTTAATGGATAATTGAATTGTTTCCACTTAATGGTTTTTGTGCTCACACCATGCTGCCTACGAACATTCTTTTAGATTTGAGATACCATGTTTTACATATGAGATTAGCAAAAATGAAAACACCATGAATAGGCAAAAAGATGAGTCAATAGATACTCTCACACCTAATAGTAGGAATATAAGTATATTGGGATGCTGTTATGGAAAGTAATTTGGCAGTACTATCAAAATATTGAATGCATATACCTTCCTGTAACTTCACATCTCTATCTAGACAAAGAAGCATGTGCGAAGATTTTCAAAACAGTGTTGTTTGCCTTAGTGAAAAACTAGGAAAAAAAACCTCAGTTTCCATTAATAATAAGGTAATAGTGTTATCAATTATTGCAAAATTTCAACATCCCACCTGCAAGGTTTTTAAAATAAGGTAAAATCTTTATAAATGACCTCAGGTCATATTAAATGACAGCAGAACAGAACACTCAAGCAGAAATGGCTAGCTACACAGAAGGCTCAGGCAGGAGGATCACTCAAGCCCTGGAGTTTGAGATAGCCTGGGCAGCACAGCGACATCCCATCTCTTAAAAAAAAAAAAAAAGGTAACTAAATGCATCGAAAATATAAAGAAGGATATATAACAAACTTCTAATAGTGGTTACCTCTAGGGAGAAGAATAAGATTTGTGGAAGGTTGAAAGGACATGTTTTACCCAAATTTTACATTGTGTAAAATTCACATATGACTTAGAATAAAGCTGTTGTCAGTGTTTCTTACTGCTTTATAACTTATAAAACCAACTATATATCTCACTTAGTCCTCACAATGCATAAAACAAGTTTTATAAATGTCATTTTACAGATGACAAAACTGAATTTCAGACACTTTAAGTGATTTGCTCATAATCAAATAACTAATGACAGTGGCTGAGATGCCTCCAGACTTAGGTCTTGATTCTATACCCAATACTTCTACTACTTCATGACAACTATTAGGCTGGTGCAAAATTAAAGTAATGGTAAAAACCGCAACTATTTTGTGCCAGTCGAATAGTGGGAAAGATTTGCCTCGTCTGGTCAGAGATGATTATGATTATCTAATGATATGCAAGTCTGAGTTTTTAATCAGCATAAAAACAATAACTGGCATTTAAAGCAGAGATGAAATTACAAGAAAAGCTACTGGAACAGACAAGATGGAAATCAGATGTGTTAGAAGTCCAAAAAGAAAAGGTTTTAGTAGCGATATGTCTATAAGCAAGCATTATTGGCCTATTAAGAATGAAAGAAACGGACTCTGTCTTGGCACAGAGACTGCTCAAAAATAAAAAGAAATACATAAGAAATAAAATACCAACCGTAAGAATCTTTATTAACTAAGAGGTCAGCAATTAAAACCGTTTAGAAGCTTCTGGTTAGTGGACATGTGACAATGCAACAGAAAAATCCTTAAGTAACTATCAAAAAAACCCCAACTGCTGGCCAGGCGCGGTGGCTCACGCCTGTAATCCCAGCACTTTGCGAGGCTGAGGTGGGTGGATCACGAGATCAGGAGATTGAGACCATCGTGGCTAACACAGTGAAATCCCATCTCTACTAAAAATACAAAATACAAAAAATTAGCTGGGCATGGTGGTGGACACCTGTAGTCCCAGCTACTCGGGAGGCTGAGGCAGGAGAATGGCATGAACCCGGGAGGCAGAGCTTGCAGTGAGCCGAGATCGCGCCACTGCACTCCAGCCTGGGCGACAGAGCGAGACTCCGTCTCAAAAAAAACCCAACTGCCAATGGACTGTGAATGTACAGTGGATACAGACAGAAGTGATACACAGCAAGAAAAATAGCATCTGACTTTTATATTCTTCTTTGGCTGCTTAGATGCTCCTATATGTACCTACATCTGTAAAATCTCTTTAAGCAGAAGAATCCTTCACTTATTCAGTAAGAGTGGATTGAACAACTGCTTTGAGAAACATAGTGCTGGTATTCTTGCCCTTGAGGAGCTGAGAGTCATAATAATTACAAGACAGTGCGACTGATACCATAACTAAAATCTATTAAAAATAACTACAGGACTTCAGAAGATCTTTTTAAAAGTGTGTGGGGGGATGGAGGTGAGTGATAACTTCAAACCTATTAGGACAAGACCTCCAGTACTATGTTGAATTGATACATGCTGAAAAGACAGTGATTTTTAAAGCCGTTTTTCTAAATGCTTTTCTGGAAATTATCAATATCATTTCTGAATGATTAGTCAATATATTTTCCCAGAAAGAATACTGGCAAAATTACAAGAAAATACTGGTGAAATTACCCAGAATATAGCACATAGAGGAGAAAAAAGGTACTATTTTTTGTAGCATTTTAAAAATACAGTTAAGAGAGGTACAAAGAAAACTTAACAATACTGAAGCTCCAAAGCTCTGCTTTCCATACAGTTATACTTGTGATATAATATACTAGCCATAAATCCTAAGCATTGACCAATAAAACAATAACCAAAGTGAAGTTGCCCGAGAAGCTTAAGAAAGACATCATGCTGCCAATCAAAGTATTTCTTCCTGGCTTCTATCATTGCTGAGAGTTGGCTATGAGCAGAGTGCAGAAAACTGGAAATACACAACAAAGTTAAACCAAGCAATGAAAAAAACAAATCTGGCCAGCCGCGGCGGCTCACGGCTGTAATCCCGGCACTTTGGGAGGGTGAGGTGGGAGGATCATTTGAGGTCAGGGATTCGAGACTAGCCTGGCCAACACAGTGAAACCCCATCTATACCAAAAAATACAAAAATTAGCCAGTCTCAAGAAAAACAACAACGACAACAAAAAAACAAATCCACAAAACCATCCCACTGCCTTTCTTCTGTGTCTAACAAAATGAAAGGGGAAGAATAATGAAAATGGAACAAAAAGAATTCTTACCACTCTGCAGTTTGGAGAGAAGAAAGCGAGATAAAGCAAAGGAAGATACAAAATGAAGCTGTCTTCTACAAATAACTTGGGTAATGGGTACGAGCTCAGATTTTTCATTGACTTACTCCCCAGTCGAAAATGAATTTCACATCACCTTGCATGTATCTAATAACAGAAGGAAACAGACCACACTGACTAAAAAAAAGCAAATCAAGTTGCTCAGGATGTTTCACTATGTTATTCGCAGCAAGTTAATTGTTTTTCAAGTATTGAGCCTATTTTTGAATTGGGACATAAAAGGAATGCCACAGGAACAGAAGATGTAAAATCCCATATGCTATTACATGCAAAAACTAATCCCAGCAACAAATCTCTCTGGCTTGAGAAAAAAATATATACCTTTTTTTTGAGGGTCTCACACTGTCGCCCAGGCTGGACTGGAGTGCAGTGGCATGAACATGGCTCATTGCAGCCTCGACCTCGCAGACCCAAGCGATCCTCCTATCCCAGCCTCCTGAGTAGCTGGGACTACAGGCATGTGCCACTACACCCGGCTAATTTTGTTTTATCTTTTGTAGGGACAAGGTCTCACTCTGTTGCACAGACTGGTCTCAAACTCCTGGCCTCAAGTCCTGCCTCGGCCTCCCAAAGTGCTGGGATTACGGGAATAAGCCACTGTGCCTGGCCTCAAGAAGAGAAATTGCTAAGTGACCACAGGGCGTCATTCTGCTTCCAAACCATAAGAGTTCAAAATACCTAGAGATAAGATGAAGACTTATAAGTGATACGAATCTGATAGTATCTAACAACATGGTCCCAACATGAGGTCCAACTGTTAACTAGTAAACTAAGCTTTCGCTGCAAAAAAACTCATTCTACCTCCCTATCAAGACAATCAATGACAGTTATTTGTTACATTCACTACTCCCTCCACATTTACCGCTCCCCCCTTTTTTTTAAATTAAAAATCAGCTGGTATAAGCAGTATGTTTCATGGTAAAATCTGATACAGGATTTACTGGGTTCTTGAAGATTATCTTTGAAACACACCAAAATTTCTTCAATAGTGGTCGCAGGTGTCTAAGAAATAACCAATCAAACCCCTTTTCTTTACAGGTGAGGAAGCTGAGACTTAGAGAAGTGCCTTGCCCACAGTCACTCAAACTAGGTAGGTATGAAAGAGAACCCAGAATTTACAACTCCTGACTCTCAAATCATATAAACTATTCACTTCAGACTCTACTAGTTATATTACAGATATATGTAACTCCTTTCATCATGCAATAGAAAGGTTGGACGGAACCTTGGGAGTTGAAGATACAGATTCAAATTCTGGCTGGGTCACTTTCTAACTATGTGACTAGTCAAAATCCTTAATATCTCTGACTCTAAATTTTCTCAACTGTGTAATAGATAATATCTACCACATAAAGTTGTGACATCCAATGAGATAATCAGGTGACGCTTATCTGGCACAATATTTAACATATAGGAGAAGCTCAAAAAGAATTCCTTCCCAACCCCCACGTCTATTTATTGCAAAATTATATAGTCTATGGGAATAAATCCTACAAAGTAGCACATTTCCAAATAACCAACCTTTAATTTCCTTAGCTTCCTCTACATCAGCTATTTAGGAATATGTGCTAAATGGCCATTCTGCCTCACTGTAAGGTGTTCAAAACCTAGTGATATTATAAACTGTTTCTAGTATTCAAGAACAGAATGAATGAGAATACCTCTAAAGTGACCAAAGAAACTCTGCCTTTTGTGACATACACAGTCAAGGCCACATGACAATACTTTGGTCAACAACTGATTGCATAAACAATGGTAGTCCCATGAGATTATAACGAAGCTGGTCAAGCACAGTGGCTCACATCTGTAATCCCAGCACTCTGGGAGGCCGAGGAGGGAGGATCACCTGAGGTCAGGAGTTCGAGACCAGCCTGGCCAACATGGCGAAACCCCATCTCTACTAAAAATACAAAATTAGCCGGGTGTGGTGGTGAGCACCTGTAATCCCAACTACTTGGGAGGCTGAGGGCACAAGAATCGCTTGAACCCAGGAAGCAGAGGCTGCAGTGAGCTGAGATCGTGCCACTGCACTCCAGCCTGGGCGACAGAGCAAAACTCTTCCCTGCCACAAAAAAAAAAGATTATAATGAAGCTGAAAAACTCCTATCACAGTGACATCATAACTGTCATGGCACAAAACATTACTTATGTGTTTGTGTGATGCTGGTGTAAACAAGCCTACTGTGCTGCCAGTCATATAAAAGTCTAGCGCATACAACAATGTACAGTTCACAGTGCTTGATGATAATAAATGGTTATTTTACTGGTTCATGTATTTACTATATCATACTTTTTTTCATTAGAGTGTGCTCCTTCTACTTATGTAAAAAAAAAAGTTACCTCAGGGAGGTCCTTCCTGAGGTCTTCCAGCACACGGCATTGTTATCATAGAAAATGACAGCTCCATGTGTGTTACTGGCCATTACCACCTTCCAGTGGGAAGGATGTGGAGGTGGAAAGCATACTGATGATTTTGTCCCCGTGGAGGCCTAAGCTAATGTGTGTGTTTGTGTCTTAGCTTTCAACAAAAAAAAGTTTAAAAAGTAAAAAAAAAAAAAAAAAAAAAAAAAAAAATTAAAAATCTTAAAAAAACCTTATAGAATAAGAATACAAATAAAATATTTTTGTACAGCTATACAATGTGTTTATATTTTAAGCTAAGTGTTATTACAAAAGAATCAAAAAGTTAAAAAAATTTTAAAGTTTATAAAGTAAAAAAGTTACAGTAAGCTAAGGCAAATTTGTTGTTAAAGAAAAATAATTTTGTAAAAATTTAGCGTAGCCTAAGTGTACAGTGTTGATAAAGTCAACAGTAGTGTACAGTAATGCCCGAAGCCTTCACATCCACTCACACTCACTCACTGACTCATCCACAGCAACTTCCAATTCTCCAGGCTGCATTCACAAGTGCCCTATACCTGTGTATCATTTTTATCTTTTATACTGTATTTTTGCTGTACATGTTTAGATAAATTAGATACATTAGATACATGTTTCCATGTTTAGATACATTGTGTTACAACTGCCTAAAGTATTCAGTATAGTCACATGCTGTACAGATGTGCAGCCTCGGAACAAAAGGCCGTATCACACAGCCCAGGTATGACAACGTATGCTTCATACAGCCAGATAGTCCACTCTGCTGTCATCAATTCCTGTTTGGCTAACACCCTCAGTTCTTTCAATTTTCTTTACAAATCCACTTTGTTCTTGCATTTTAAAAAAATAAAATAAAATTCAATCATGACAAAATTATATTTTGAAGTACATAAATAATAAATAAAATTCTGGCCAGGCACAGTGACTCACTCCTGTAATCTCAGCACTTTGGGAAGCCAGGGTGGGAAGAGGTCGAGACCAGCCTGGGCCAACATAAGGAGACCCTGGGTCTATAAGAAATAATAAAAATTAGCCAGGTGTGGTGGTGCACACCTGTGGTCCCAGCTACCTGACAGGCTGAAATGGGAGGATGGCTTGAGTCCAGGAGGTGGAAGCTGCAGTGAGCTGAGATTGTACCACAGCATTCTAGCCTGGGCAACAGAGTGAGACTGTCTCAAAAAAAAATTTTTTTTAATTAAAATTTTAAAAATAAAGTTCCCCGTTAATCTATCTTTTCTAGTACTGAGGTTCAAGATCATACTATAAATATTCTTTGCAGTTTCCTTTCATCTTTTTTTAAAACTGTGGTTAAATATACATAAAGTTACCATTTTAGCCATTTTTCAGTATACACTTCTATAGCATTAAGTATATTTATATTGTTGTGCAACCACCTCCATCCATCTCCAGAACTTTCTGATCTTCCCCAACTGAAATGCTGCACCCAATAAACACTAACTCCCCATTCCTGTCTCCCTCCGTCCACTGCCAACCAGCATTCTACTTTGTCTCCATCAATGTGACTACTTTAAGTACCTCACGTGAATAGTCAAACAATATTTATTTGCGCCGTGACATAATCTCAGCTCACTGCACTTATCTCACTTACCATATCTTTGTGGTTCATCCATATTGTAGCACGTGTCAGAATTTCCTTCTAAGTCCAAATAATAATATTGTGTTAAAATTATATAAAACACAATTTTATGTGCATATCACTGTATTGTAGCCTACAATATGTGGTACGTAAAAATCACATTTTGTCCATCCATTCATCTGTCAATGGACACTTGGGTTGCCTCCACCTTTTAACTATTGTGAATAAAGCTGCTATGAATATGGGTGTACAGATATCTATTCAAGTCCCTGCTTTCAATGCTTTTGGGTAAATATTCAGAAGCAGAACTGCTGGATCACTGGTAATTCTTTGGTGTTTGCACAGTGACAATATTTAACTTTTTAAGGGACTGCCATACTGTTTTCCACAGCACTGAACCATTTTAAATTTCCACCGGCAAAGCACAAGAGTTTCAATCTCTCCGTATTCTTACTTACACTTGTTATTGTGTGTGTATTTTCATCCTAATGAGTGTGAAGTGTTATCTCATTGTTTTGATTTATATTTCCTTTACAACTTAGTGATGTTGAGCATCTTTTCATGTCCTTTTCATCTTTTCATGTGCTTATTGACCATTTGTATACCTTCTTTGGAGAAATGTGTATTCAAGTCCCCTGCCCATTTTATAATTGGGCCATTTGCTTTTTTGTTGTTGAGTTGTAAAAGTTCTTTATATATTTTGGATATTAATCCCTTATCAGATATATTTTTGCAAATACTTTCTTCCATTAGTTGGTTGCCTTTTCACTCTGTTAATAGCGTCCTTTGATGCATAAAAGTTTTTAATTTTGATAAAGTCTAATTTATCTGTTTTTTCTTTTGTTGCCTGTGATTTTGGTGTCATGTCTAAGAATCCACTGCCAATTCCAAGGTCACGAGGATTTACTCTAAGTTTTCTTCTAAGAGTTTTATAGTTTTAGCTCTTATGTTTAGGTCTTTGATCCATTTTGAGTTAATTTTGGTATTGATGTAAGGTCCAACTTCATTTTTTTTTTTTTTTTTTGCATGTGTCTTACTTATTTTTGAGGTTCCTTAGATCTCTCTCCATTTGCCATCTTCTTCCTGTTTTCTGAGGATTTAGAATTAAACATCCATTCCATCTATATACTGGTTATCAATTAATTGATTATCAGCTCCAAATTTACCTTTTTTGCCGGCTGTGTGAAAATGAACCTGGGCCCTTTAAATACTTTTCCTTTGCAAAGCATGCATGATGTCAAGCTTTACCCATAGAGGACACAGGAGATACACTGTAGGAGGAAAGCATTTCGCTTCCAGGTCCCATTGTGCTTGCCTAGCAGGTTCTTACAGGATAAGCAGTTTCCCTCCATCCTAGCTCCTACAATGGACAGCAGCCAGCAGCTAGTAGCTTCCCTCAGTAAACCTTTTCATGTTGTCATATGGCAGCAAAGTGCCTCTGGTGAGACAACTCCTTGTGAAGAGCTTTCCCAAGTATCCTAGAGGGTAGTTTTTGGCAACTTCAAAAGGACAGATTTCCAGCAAGTTCTGCTGGTATAAGTCCATAGGGACTTACTTCTCTGCCATTCTGAGAGTCAAAGTCATGCCTTCTCCACCAAAGCCCCTCAGATTTCAGTCTCTCGGCCAGGAAGTGTTTGGTGGTATTGAGGGAGACGGCTCTTTGGGTATGATATCTCGGTCCCGGGGTAGCTGCTTAGCTGCTATTATACTAATTCTATTTTGTCACACATCAATCATATTATTATATTTCTTATTATAGATACAGCAGATCTATATCTGCTGTTATTTAGAGTTTTCTTCCTAGGAGTCAATTTCTCATTATTTCAGTCTCCTCTTATGGTAAAGAATTCTTTTTTTTTTTTTTTTTGGAGATAGAGTCTCACTCTGTTGCCCAGGCTGGAGTGCAGTGGTACAATCACAGCTCACTGCAAGTTCCACCTCCCGGGTTCATGCCATTCTCCTGCCTCAGCCTCCCAGGTAGCTGGGATTACAGGCGCGTGCCACCACGCCCAGCTAAATTTTTTGTATTTTTAGTAGAGACGGGGTTTCACCGTGTTAGCCAGGATGGTCTCAATCTCCTGACCTCGTGTTCCGCCTGCCTTGGCCTCCCAAAGTGCTGGGATTACCGCACCCGGCCCTTTTTTTTTTTTTTTTTTTTTTTGAGACGGAGTTTTGCTCGTTGCCCAGGCTGGAGTGCAGTGGCGTGATCTTGGCTCACTGCAACCTCCACCTTCCGGGTTCAAGCGATTCTCCTGCCTCAGCCTCCTGAGTAGCTGGGATTACAGGCATGTGCCACCACACCCGGCTAATTCTGTATTTTTAGTAGAGACGGGGTTTCTCTATGTTGGTCAGGCTGGTTTTGAACTCCCAACCACAGGTGATCCGCCTGCCTTGGCCTCCCAAAGTGCTGGGATTACAGGCATAAGCCACTGCGCCTGGAGGTAAATAATTCTTTATATTAAATGCCCTGTCCAAAGTACTGTGTAGTCTCTCTCTCCTGGCTGGACCTGGACTGATACAAGTGAGCTGAAAAAAAATGCTGACAGCTACTTACTATATATAAGACAGACATTATGCCTAGTGTTTTATAAACATTATCACTTTTAATTCTCACTAAAACCCTGTGATATATCACTTTATAGTAAGGAAACTGAGGCTCAGAAAAACTATACAATTTTTCCCCCATATTACAAATCCAGGTCTGTCTTACATTAAAGTCCCTGCTGGCTTTCTACTATGGTGTTTATTTTTCTTCACAGACCTAAGAACATATTTTTTAAAGAAACTGAACATCTATGTGAAAAAGAATTAACGTAGCAGGTCTGACTGCTAAGGTTGGCCTTAGCTAGTATCTGAGAACTGAAGATTTCACAAGGGTTCTATCCCCAGAACTGATCAGAGTGGCTCTTATCTGTTAATGCCTGCTTTCCTTTCGGGAGTCTGGAATTTTGATTTGTGCTAGGGTTAGGGTGCTTATGTGAACAGCCCCCTTCACCATCCCCAGCCAAAAAATCTCAGCACTAAGTCTGTAACAAGCTTCCCTGGTAGACAACACTGTTACAACTTACTGCTGGAGGAATCAAGCAAGTCCTGTGACTCCACTTGGAAAGGACTTTTGGAAGCTTGAGTCAGGTTTCCTCTGGACTTCACCGCATGCACCTTTTTTCTTTGCTGACATTGCTTTATAGCCTTTTACTAGTATAAAGCATAGCTATAAGTATGACTACATCTGAGTTCCATAAGTCCTAGATAATTCACTGGACCTAGGGTAGTCTTGGAGACCCCCCAAAAAAACCTATAATACACCAAGTACTTTGTTAAATGCTGAGGACACAAAGATGAATAAGGCCTTTGCCCTCAAGGAACTTTAGTCTATTTAAATTTCCATTCCTTCATTCCTCTGATCATCACTTCTTAGTCTGTTCACTACTTGAAACAGATTAGATTCATTTCCCTGAGCTAAATTTCATTTAGTGCTGAAGTGATGCTAAATAAATATTTAATAAGTCCATCAGCAAAATCTGAGATACAGAGCTCTAATAGACTCAAAGGCTACACATACTTCCTCTTTACTTTCCCTGTCTTATTGTGTTCTTCATTAAAAATAAATTGACAAATACTTGTACTTTGCTGGTGGGAATGTAAAATGGAGCAGCTGCTGTGGAAAAGAGATTGGCAGTTCTTCAAAAAGTTAAATATAGAGCTACCATATGACCCAGCAATTCCACTCCTAGGTATATACCCAAAGAACTGGAAAACAGGTACTCAAAACCAATACTTGTACACAGATGTTCATGGCAACACTACTCACAATAGCCAAAGGATGGGCTGGGTGCAGTGGCTCACACCTGTAATCCCAGAATTTTGGGAGGCTGTGGCGGGCGGATCACGAGGTCAGGAGATTGAGACCATCCTGGCTAACACGGTGAAATCCCATCTCTACTAAAAATACAAAAAATTAGCTGGGCCTGGTGGCGGGTGCCTGTAGTTCCAGCTGCTTGGGAGGCTGAGGCAGGAGAATGGCATGAACTTGGGAGGCAGAGCTTGCAGTGAGCAGAGATCACACCACTGCGCTCCAGCCTGGGCGACAGAGTGGGACTCCATCTCAAAAAAAAAAAAAAAAAAAAAAAAGCCAAAGGATGGAAACCCAAACGTCCATTAAGGGATAAACAGATAAACAAATTGTGCTATATACACACAAAGGAATATCATTCAGTTATAAAAAGGAAAGAAGTACTGATATATGCTACAACATGGATAAACAATGAAAACACACAGTACTAAGTGAAAGAAGCCAGACATAAAAGGCCATATATTATATGACTCCATTTATATAAAATCTCCAGAACAGGTAAATTCATCAAAAGAGAAAGCAGATTGGTGGTTGCCAGCAGGGAAGGGGAAAGACAGGATGATTGCTTAATGGATACGGGTGATGTATCCATTGAGGGTGATGTAAAAATGTAAGCTACATGGAGATAGTGGTTGTACAGCACTGTGAACGTATTAAATGCCACCAAATTGTTCACTTTTTTAAAAGTTTAATTTTATGTTATATGAATTTAACCTCCATTAACATTTTTTTTAAAAGCAATGCAGTATACACCACAGTACAAATGAAGAAACTTCCTGTTGTTATTTGAATAAGTACTTACAGCTTGAGATAAAATCATCAGTGACTACAATAAATATAGACACAAAAAAGTGCTGTATCTCAATATATACTCTGGAAAACTGAAGATTCAAAGTGGTTCTAAGCAACAATACAGATACTGATGCAGTAGAGCATATACACATTTTTTCCCAAAAAGATAAAATGTTTCTAAATTACATAAATAAATATTTTAAGTAGATATTTGCCTATTTCCCTAAACGCTTAATAGGTTAGCCCTTCCTTTCAATGGAAAAACAGCATTAAGGCCTTATATTCATGGTTTCCTCATATTCAGGCATATATAACACACAATATATATGTTTTTTTATGTCTGGAAGGATATATCCCAAAATGTTTATAGTGGTCATATGTCTTGGTGTTAAATTTGGATTTATGAGTGATATATGTCTTTGTGGGGGGAGGAGGTTTCTTATCTGTATTTTCTAACTGTTCAACAAATGAACATGTATTATTTGTACTTAACTAGAAAAAAATGGAGATAATAACAACACCTACCTCAGGGAAGCTGTGAAGATTAAACGAAACAATATACATAAAGCTCTTAACACAGAATTCAGCATAAGTACACAACAACTGTCAAGCAGTATGGATGGTATTGTTTCTGTTTTTGCAAATACTCCTCAGGATTCAGGATGTATGCCTTATTATCTATGGCGAAAGCACTCATCTTAATCCAGGCCTGGATCACTTCAAGCTTAAATTACTCTAATAGTCTCTTGGCTGGTCCAGCTAAGAGCTAGCCTCCATCCACCCCTGCCCAGCTTTCTTACCAGGGCCAGGGTTAACTACCTAAAACACCACTCATACCACTTCCATAGTAATGGCCCTCCATTGCTTACATGATTAGGTTCCAAATATCCCAAGCCTTGCCCCACTTGGTTATTCTCTTTTTCTTCTCATTTACTCCTTCAGCAAACATTTACTGAGGGACGTTTATGTGTCTGCAACTTGGTAGGAATGCAAAGGAAAATAAGCTAGGGATTCTTTTCTCAAAAGAACTCACAGTCTAGTAAGGGAAAGAGGCATGTAAACAAATACAATATGAACCATGTAATAAAATGTAAATGTATGGCCCAGAGAGAACCAGTGTACATGGTTGATAATCAAGTGAGAAAGGCATAAAGAAATTACAAAGAGGAGACTCACAGTAGGTAAGACTTGAATGGGGTTTGGAGGATGACCACAAATAGCTAATTTCCAGATAGAAACTTTACTCAATTTACTTCACACCTTGGCACGTTCTCAAACATCAACTCAAGCAAAATTCAGCAAAATCCCACCTCCCTTCACAATGTAATCCTCTAACTCTAGCCCACGCTCTTTCAATTTGTGGGTCAAGATCCATTCATGACTTAAAGAACCAATTTAAGAGGTTTCAACCACTACTGAAATGAAAGATTAGAGAACTAGAGCTGCAATTCTCAAACTTTTTTGATTTCAGAATACCTTAACACTTTAAAAAATTACCAAAGACTCCAAAGAGCTTTTGCTTCTGTGGTTATAACTACTGCGATTTTCCTATGAGAAACTAAAACTGAGTACTTTTAAAAATATGTTAATTCCTTTAAAAGTATCAATAATAAACCAACCATTATATTAGCCTAAAAAATATTTTATGAAAATGGTTTAGTTTGTAAACTAAACCAGTGAGAAGAGTATCATTATTTTACATTTCTACAAATATTTTTAACATCCAACTTAATAGAACAGTGGTCCCCAATCTTTTTGGCACAGGGACTGGTTTCATGGGAGATAATTTTTCCATGGGGGGTGGGGTAGGGTGGGGATAGTTTCAAGATGAAACTGTTCCACCTCAAGTCATCAGGCATTCGATGGAACAGGCAACCTAGATCCCTCGCACGCGCAGTTCACAGTAGGGTATGCACTCTTATGAGAATCTAATGCCGCCACTGATCTGATAGGATGTGGTGCTCAGGCAGTAGTGCTTGCTGCTCACCTCCTGCCGTGTGGCCTGGTTCCTAACAGGCCACAAGCCAGTACCAGACTGTGGCCTGGGGATTGGAGATGGAATGGAGGATGGCTGGATTCTCATACCTGCTTCTGCATTCAATCTGTTTCAATATTATTCTGAAGTATAAGAAAGAAATTTGGCATTCCATGGATATGTATCTGGAAGAGGCAAGGTATTTTAATAGCCTTTTCGCCTATCTCTAGATATTCTTCTTTAATACTGTACCAAAGGTTAGTTGCAATGTGGCATGTGAAACCTTATCAATGAATTTTTTCATACTGTTAATATAAAAATTCATTGATCTTGTACTTGGAATAGATTTTTTTTGCCTATGCATGATTTTGTAACATTATGTGTTGTTCATTTATAAAATACAAGTTCACTAAGTTATAAAGATCTTCCAACTGTTGACACATCTCATTATATAACATCAAAAAATTCACATTCACTAATATCACCACCAATCTCATCTGAAAAGTCTTTTAAGGTTCAGAGCTGTCAAGCTCATAGGCCAGGATACAAGTTTTCCAAAACTCTAGTTTTTGCTTGAAAGTTCAAATTTTATCACTGGCCACAAATATCAGTTTTCCTTAAAATGACAGGCTTGCTTCATTTTTTTTTTTTTAATTAAGACAGGGTCCTGCTCTGTTGCCCAGCCTGGAGTGCAATGGTACAATCTCAGCTCACAGCAACCTCCACCTCCTGGGTTCAAGCAATTTTCCCACCTCAGCCTCCCAGGTAGCTGGGACTACAGGCACATGCCAGCACACCCGGCTAATTTTTGTATTTTTAGTAGAGACGGGGTTTCACCATGTTGGCCAGGATGGTCTCGATCTCCTGACCTCATGATCCCCCGCCTCAGCCTCCCAAAGTGCTGGGATTACAGGTGTGAGCCACTGCGCCTGGCCACCTCATTCATTTTTAATAAAACGTCCGAATACCATAGTCTATCAGTTGTTCTTTCAAATAAAAATGGCATCCCATGAAAAAAGTTCAGCTGGCAACTCAATCACAGAAGCAGTTTTCCTTTAGATAACTGTCATACTTAGTATGCAGCAGAAGTGCTTTATTTGTATTACCCATTTTGCCAAAGAGATTATTTAAAAGATTCATAACCGAGGATGGAGAATTAGTAATAGTAATAATTTTTACTACTTCAGCAGGAACACTGAAGTGAAACTGTCTTTCTCCCCTTCTTTAACTGTTAAGTGTTTGGTGGTGAAGAACATAACTACTCAGTCGTCATTACATTCTTTGGTACAGGCAGTTTGTGGCATAATAAGCCCATGTCCTAGTTTTGGCCTGTCACAGTAGCATGTGTAGTGAGGTATGGGGGAAAGTACAGTTATTAGAATCACACTGATCTACGTCTCTGGTAACCAACTAGCTCTATGGCTGTGGAAAGCTAATTCATCTCTCAGCCTCAAATTCTTCCATCTTTAAATGAGAATACTACCTACCTCATAGGATTGTTACAAGGATTGAGGTAATACATGCAATATCTTACACAGTGCCTGTTCCTTAATGGGGTGGCCCTGTTAACAATAATAATAAGAAGAAACAGTATCTTAGTTGTATGTAACACTTCACCACATACCAACACACAGGCAGTTCTGACTAGTACAGGACCACAGATTATGAGGGGACCCATAGGGATCATCTAATTCTAATTCAGCTACTTTACTTGCACCCTCCTTACCTTGCAACCATATTCACATAGCACAGACTGACCTTACAGATAAGAAAACCAATGTACCACAAGGTTTTAAATGTCTTTCTCAAGGTTACAGAGCTAGTCTAAGAAGCAGAAATTGGTGTCAAGCACATCCTCCTACTCATAACAATTCTGTTAGATAGATAACATTATTCTCTTTTGATTGATAATGGAAACTCAGGTTCATTCCCTTGAGTTTCAAGTGACATGTCCAAGGTCACAAAAACAGGCCTGGAACCCAAGTCCTCTCATTTGTAGTTCTTCCAACCGTAACTTAGAAATCTGTCTAAATACATGATTCACTCTGTGCAATCATTGATAATTATCTACATCTGGATCTGAATGGAATAACAGACTAACAGACACAATTATGTGAATACTCATTATGACTAAATATGCCAATTGATAACCACCAACAAATCAGTTTGTGTTGTGATATTTCAATTTAAACTGGTGTTTCACTAAACTGAAGACTTCACAAGCTTTGGCATTTAAAAAAACAAAAGATACCTCTTAATTAGCCTCAGAGTATAAAAGAAATACATTTCAAAGGATCATTCTGCAACATTCAAAAAAGTCCCTTTAAGACAGGCTGAGTTGACTATCACAGTCTAAATTTAAATTAACAATTCTACCCCAAAAAAAGTCATTATAGACAAAATAATAAATTTTATTTTAATTGATAGACATTATTTCAATTGAGTTTTATAACAGTCTCTTCACTCACATTGCTATTGAACATGATGTTAAACCAGCTCTGGTGTTTATTAGAGGAACAACTTAGGACAAGTTACTCACCTTTCTGGGCCTCAATTTTATTTTCTGGTCTATAAAATATATGTGATCATGTCTACACCTTGCAAGGATGTTAAGTTTAGGCACAAGGTATACAAAGCACCTGAAAGTATACCTACCCCATAGAGAAAAACTATTATTGTAACAATTTTTATTATATGCTTTGAGTTCACAATCCTGCCTATCCCTAAGTCCATTAAGATCTGGGTAAAACTGGACTTTTCTATTTCCTCCTGCTGCTGTTGCTTCCAATGCCCTACTGGCTACAACTGCCAACTCTCTGACCTAGACTCTCTGCCACCTACTACTAGTGTCCTCAGAGCAAGTCCCTGAACTTCCTTTTATTGTATTAATTCCCTGGTCAGAAAGAAGATAATGCTCATTACTTACCAATTCAGTGATCTTCTGATAATTACCACGTTAATTCTTGCTTGGAACCAATCTAAAAGACTTCAAACAACTTCAAACCTACCGAGGATTTTTTTTCTTGATGCCAAGTTTTAAAAACCAGGAATTACATTTTTTTAAACAAATGGTCAACTATTAAGAATTCATAAAAGAGCTGCCTGTCATATCTCGTTATACTTTGATTCCTGTATCAACTCAATTACTCAAATCCTTTAGTTCTTCATCTTCTAGCCCTCTTAGATAATAGTCTCCATTAAGTAAAAGGCATTTTGCAGAAACAGATAGAGAAAACTATATATATATATATATTGTGTAAAGCTTAGTTTTCTGCAAGTACAATTAAATACTCAAGATAGCTGGGAGAAGGGCAAGAAGAGCCCACAGAGATGAGATGGTACTGAGACTCCACTGGTGGCCCTTTCTAAGGGACTAGAACTACACTACAGATTTATCAATGAAAGGTTGAAGGCAAGGGAAAAGGAAAAGCCAGTGACATATGCAGGCACTGCAATGCGCTAGATAATTGATATACATTATTTCTGGGTATTATTTCCATTATCAGGTGAGGAGAGTCAGACTCAGAGAGATTAAGTGACTGGATCCAGGCCAAATAGCTAGTAAACAGTAGAGCCAGAGCCATAATTATAACTGTTCTTTCTGTTACATGTTACGCAGCAGTTTAGTCCAGAAAAGCATTTACCCCTAGGCCAAGAAATAGGGAAGGTAAGTGTATGATTATCTATACACTGGTTTAGCCACACTGTTTCCCTTCCAGCAATGGGAAAAATGGAGAGATAATTCATCTTTAACCTGCGGTTATCACCCAATTATTCCCATTGGTAGAAGAAAAGCAGTGCTTCTCAAATGTTAGCATGCAGACAGGTCACTAGGTATCTTGTTAAAATGTAGATTCTGATTCAGTAGGTCTACAGTGGCGTCTGAGATTTCTGCATCTACCAGGAAATGAAGCTTCTAGTGCTGGGGCCATACTGTAAACAGATTATACTCAATAGTTCCCAATCTTGACCGATCATTTGAATCACCTGGGAATAATCTAAAAACTACAGATTTCCCTCCTTGATTCAGTAGTGTCTGGAATGAGGTCCAGGTTGACTTCAATACAGTCATCCCTTGATGTCCATGGGGGACTGTTTTGAGGACCCCTCTCAGACACCAAAATCCACAGATGCTCAAGTCCCTGATGTATAATAGCACAGTATTTACATATAACCTATGTATATCCTCCCAGAGATTTTAAATCATCTCCAGATCACTTATAATACCTAATACAGTGTAAATGCTACGTAGTTATTTAGTATTTTTATTTGTATTATTTTTATTGTTGCATTGTTATTTTTTTTCTGAATTATTTTCAATCCGTGGTTGGTTGAATGCACAGATGTGGACCCCACAGATACAATACGCCAACTGTACAGAACAGGGACTACTGAGCTATACTATCTCCAGGCACATTCTACCTCAGAATTCTGTAATTCAAAGAAATATATAATTATTACCGACAATAATCACAGCAAGCACTGACTGAGAACACACCAAATGTCTAAGAGCTTTATATATTAGCTTACTTAGTCCTCAAACCACACTGTGAGGTTGGTACTCACAGCACTATCATTCCCATTTTACACATGAGGAAGCCAACGCACCAAGAGACTAACTTGTCCAAGGTCAGTGAGTGAACTGCAGAACAGGGGTTCAGACTTGAACCAACCCGATTTCAAAGAGTCTGTGCCCTCAGACACACCATCTAAAGCTGCTTCCCACATTACCCAATGGTAATGTCACTGATTTTAACAGACACACTTGAACAAATAAATCCAAATGGGTCACCTCAGAAGATGTCGCCCTGGGAAGGCTATGTTCTTATTCCTCAGATGCTACCATCATTCAAAACACGGCCACTGCTAAACTAAACATTTAAAGAGCCCTTGATCTGAAAATGAAAATGCCTTCAGAGCCTAAACCCATGACTTTAAGTATCTTCAAATGGGGTAAAAGCTCACCATTTGAGCACAGATTTGACTTTTTGACAACACCACAAAATCACGAAGAGCCAATTCGAAGAAACCTAGTGTCTTTCAAAAACCTAGGTAGGTATTTTTTTAAATAAAAAAATTCAGTGTTAGGTATTGAAAACGTTTTCCTCATCACTCATCTCTAAAGCCGATTCCGAATGAGAGTTCCTCAGGTTTTGCGCAATGGTTGTATCACCAACCAAGGTGACTATTTTGAAGGGCAATATTCATTTGGATGCACAGGTTCTGTTATATTTGTTTAAAAAAAAAAAGCAGCCTCTTAGTCATACCAAAAGAAACACATTTGCCCTTCACTATCAGCACAAACATGCATATGTTCAGAACAACTGTCTTGAAGCATGCAGTTTTCCTTTCTGCTGAAAAAGCAACTGCTTTGATATTCTTTTCAGATTATTTTTAAGTGTGTTTTATTTATATACACCCATCCATATAAAAAAAATACCATCAGCAGGCATTAATGAAGCATTTAACTGCATGCAGCACCATAAAAGGTATTGTACAAAGGCAACTATATACTAAAATATGCACACAAATACCCTCACATACAAGGGATAAAGGCACACACAAATACTTCAGGGATACAACTATAAAAAGATATTACATTGCTACATCTAGATGAGCTCCTTTGTTAAATAAATGTCTTCTTTCAACAAAGAAAATACTCTGCAAATTCAGAATGGTTTCCAGATTTTTTTTTAAATCAGGCATTAATGCAGCTCAGCACAATTCCACACGACCGACCTCTCTGCTTGAACTGGACTCCCCACACCTTACTGAAGCCACAATTCCCCTGCACAAACTCCCACTCCACCACCCCCCACACACCCAACTCCCCACCAACCTCACAGGGGTTCCTGGGCTGGTCCATGGAATCTGATGACATCACTCTCTCTTCCTTCCTGGAATTCTAAACCCTGCTGCTCTCCCCTTGCACACAGCTACCATCTCCATGGTAACCTCACCTCCTCCTGCTTCCCTATTGGCTTCATGGAGCAGGATACACAAAAAGGTTTTCCGTTCTCCCCACACCACCCGCCCCAAAAAGACGATGCTTTCAACAGGAACCTGAGCTAAATTTAGCTACTTGGGATTCAGAGTCCTATGACTAAGAAAACACAGAGAAATGTCCTCCTTCCAACATTGTACCCTCCTCTCAACCCCACCCAAAAGTGGCTGCTTCACCTCCTCCTCTCTGGTCCCCAACCCAAAAGCAAGTAGTGATATCTGCTGAGCATTAAAAACAACCAAGCCACCTGCCTCACATATAAGATTGGCAGAGAGAAAATTCTCACATTCACCTCCTCCCAACAGGAGAATTTTTAAAAAGAGAACAAAAAACTATGCAAAAAAACAGTTGGGTCATTTCAGCTGAACATCACAGTGTTCCGCTGTTTCCTTCCATCCTAAGCCAAGGATTGGGAACTCCACGCCTCAAGGCAGAAAAGTCTTTAACCTCTTAGAAGATGGAATTCTCCTGCTATTTCCTTGATATGATTTCCTCCATCATAGGAAGAATAAATGGGGAGGAGAATTAGGTAAAAAGACTGCACACTTCAGTGATCAAACACACTAAGCCTGGAAGCACAAATCCTGGGTCCAACTTTCCATCCAAGGGACTGACCCACTATGTAAACTTAACAAATTCTCACATACCTCATCTAAAAAGCAGCTCCCACACAGGGATATTATAAGAATTACTGACAAAATTAATGTAAATTAGTTTGGGTCCCTGTGTCAAAGGGACTGAATCAAGAGTAAGTTGGCATTATTATTAGTAAAATTCCTGTGGATATTAACAGATGTTAACAATCCCCAGAGGAAGAACATAAACTTTTAGAAAATTATCCTTTCATAATCATAGATATACCATAAAATATACATAACTTCTTGAACCACAGGCAGTTCCTACAAAGGTTTCTACTTCTGGTAAAAATCCAGCTCTACTCACCTCATACACCAGCCAATTTGTGACTAGTATTTTCTTTGCTTAATCCAAACTCTAATTTTGAAATTGTTACTCCTCACTCTCCCTAAATAATGACTAAATATGGACCAGGGCTTCATTCTCTGGCTCAGATGCCCACTTTGCATTCTAGAGAAGTAATTCCTTCTCAGAGCCATATTTGATAGCTGAGCACTGAATCAACGCAGTGGCTATGTCCTATGTGACTCTGAAGGACAAAGTATCAATTGTGACCAAGTAATAAGGGCTCCAAGCAGGTCAGAGCCTTGTAGTAGGAAAGGGAGAAAAGGAATGAAAAAAATAAGGCACACACAGGAAAATTGTATTTTCAGTTTGCAAAGCAGAGACTCAACTCCAGGGCACCAACTCTCCAGCAAAAAAAAAAAAAAAAAAAAAAAAAAAAGACAGGAAAGAAGAATAATTTAGTATAATAACAGTCATCTACCCCACAGAAAACTTAAACAATTTAGAACAATTAGAGAAGTCAAAAGAGTCAAGATGCCTCTAGTTAACACACAGGCATCTAGAAAAAGCTTTATAACTGTTGTGGAAAACAGCAAAGGATGAAGCACATGCTAACAACTGAAACCCACATTGCAGTGCGGGGTGGGGGACAATATGATTAGCCCATCTCTGAGATATTTGTTTTCTTATTTCGCTCCTTGTTGACCTTAACAAGCCATTCCTTGTGTGAAAGCATTCCTATGGACACCATGGTTCCACTGGCTAAGTATTAAGTATGATAAGCACTAATAATTAATTAGTATTAAAAGCACTAATAATTATTAAGTATAATAAGCACAGTCACCTTATTCTACAAGAGGGAGACTAAAGCAGTTTCTGAGAGTGCCCATCAACTCAATTACTAAACTTGACTTATTATGAAGAAATCTATCAGCAATGGCCTAGACTAAGTGGAAAGTTGCAAAACAAAGCTCCATTTATCTACTCTTTGACTCAAACGTACATTAAGAGCACTTATTACGTTCCAAGAGTTTTATATGTGTCATCGCTATTTCAAAAAAATAAAAACACCAACACTAGTATATATTCTTTTTGTTGTTGTTGTTGTTGTTTTTGCAATGGAGTCTCACTCTGTCGCCCAGGCTGGAGTGCGGTCGTGCCATCTCAGCTCACTGCAACCTCTGCCTCCCGGATTCAAGCAATTCTCCTGCCTCAGCCTCCTGAGTAGCTGGGATTACAGGCAAGCGCCACCGGGCCTGGGTAATTTTTGTATTTTTAGTACAGATGGGGTTACACCATATTGGCCAGGCTGGTCTCGAACTCCTGACCTCAGTCGATTTCCACACCTCGGCCTTCCAAAGTGCTGGGATTACAGGTGTGAGCCACTATGCCCTGCCTAGTATACATTCTTACTCCACTTTGCAAACACAGAAACAGAGTTCCAGTGATGTCAAGGTGACCATGGTTATATACTCATTATTTCATTTTTTTTAAAAAGCCAGGATTCTAACCCAGATCTGTTTGGATTCCAAAGCCTGTGCATTTTTCCACTTAGCTTCCTATTTTCAGATAGTGAGGGTTGGAAAAAAACATCTAGAAATCATTTTACATCTGTGTTCTCTTATGCCATCGATAAAATATAGGACACTTGACATCAAGGTCAAAGTCATACTTTTTATGTATTACTAACAGTATTAAACTCTAAGTAGGCACTCAATACTTATTAATTTATTATTCTAATCCTATTATTCTAAACTTCTGGACAAACGGCAATGATTCTACTCAGATCTTTTTAAATTAAAATTGGCTTGAGAAATTACATGCTGAAATGAAATGACAAAACTTCAGATAACATTCTGGAATTAATTTCATAATATTTGAGATGAAAAAAATTATCACTGTCATAATGCCTACACTGGCCCAGTTATAATGTCATAATACCTACACAGTCTATTTGTTGGTTTTAATCCACAAACCCTAATGCAGTCAGGATCTATACATTAGATTTATGATTTCTACATTCCACATATAGAACCAGAGCATTTCTTCAGGGATTCCACTAAAATTAAATCAGCTGATTAGAGGACCATGCTAAAGAGGCCAAGGTCACGTGTCTGCTACCCATGTGAACCAGTTAGCATCATTCTCTCCTACAGCCACAACATACACCCTGTTGTAAACATATATCCTTTTTTACTCGGAAATTAAGGCAAACAATCACCTTTTCTGGAAAAAAAATGTATCTACTGATGTCAAATATTATAATCAGATTTTATTCTTTAGAAAATAGTTATTGTCTTTCAAATAATATTTTCAATCATCCATTCTTTCTTCCAATACTTACTGAATACTTACCACACACCAGTCGATAATCTCAAAAGGCTGGCCCCAAAGAACAAATAAATAGAGCTATGCGTGGTATTCAATATAGCCAAGGTGTATATAGGTATGGTGACAGCACACAGAAGGAAAGGCTACTTTTAGAAGATGCCATGGAGAATGAGCAGGAGTTCATTTAAGTAAATGAGGAAGGTAAGAGCATTCCATGGAGGGAGAACAAAGATTTACAAAGGGATGGTCATAAGACAACATAACAAACTTGAACTTTGAAGAATTTTACTAAGGCCAGGTTCAGAATTGAGAGATATGACCAGCTAAGAGAAGGCAAGGCAACATCTTTTAGATTTTCTACCTAACCCAAATTAGGTTTTCCTAAAATGCCTTACTTTGAGTTAGATTTCCACAGAGTAAAAGGGGGGAAAAAAATTAATATTATGGAGATTTGTTCTCCTCATAGTCTCCATGATAAGAATAATGGCCAAAATGAGGTACATCCTTCTGAAAATGAAGCTGTTAGTGGCTGAGACCCTCAATGAAGAGGTTCTTTTGTCTGCAGAGCAAAATCCAAATCTGCTGCCTTATTAGGTAGAATGAAAATGTCCTTCTTATTCTTGGAGAATTAGTTTAAAAAGTGGTCAATGAAGCTTATTCATCAATTCTACTTTCCTGTGGCTGTTTGAAACAGCATGTTGAATATCTGACAAGCAAATTTACATTAACTTTAAAAAGCACCTTCATCCCCACATAACACCCCAACACATAAACACAAAAATGTATGTGCACACTCACATCCTACAAGCTCGACAGGAAAAGGATCAGTATGTGTATGAAGGGAAAGCTATCTATCAGCTGTAGCAATCACAGAACGCAAGTAGAAGAAAGTAAACTTTCTACCAAAGCGATTACATATACAGAAATAGGCAAAAAACCTAAGTGCATAACTCAATGAATTTTCACAAAGTGACCATCCCCCCGCCCCCTGCCATGTAACTAACACCTAGGCCAAGAAATAGGACATTACCAGCACTACAGAAGCCCATCCTGTGCCTTTGCAAAGTCACTCCCACCAGCCCACAATGACTTTATTTAACACCATAAATTCACTCTGCCTGTTTTGAAGTTTGTATTAATGGAATTGCACATTATGCATTCTTTTGTGTTGGCTTCTTTCACTCCACATTATATCTGTAAAACTGATCCATCTGTTGAGTGTATTCCATCTTATAAATATATCATAATTTACTGAAAAATATTTCAGTAATGTTGAAAGGCCTCTGTGCCATTTCCAGCTTGAGGCTATTCCTAAAAATCCTTGCACATGTCTTTCAGTGCACACATGTATACATTTCGGTTGGGTATGCCTAGGAGTGGAATGACTGGTTATAGGGTACACTTACGTTGAGCTTTGGTAGATACTACCAACTGCCAGTTTTCCAAAGTTGTACCAATTTACATTCCTACCACCAGTACATGAGGGTTCCAGATGCTGAACGTCCTCACTAATGCTTGGTAATGTCTGCCTTTTTCATTTTAGTCATTCTGGAGGTAGTGTGATAATATCTCATCGTGGTTATTTGCTTTAGCCTGATGATTAACGATCCTGACCATTTTTTGGAACATTTGGAGATCATCTTTTGTGAAGTAACTACTCAAATATTTTGCCCATTTTGCTACTGGGTTGTTCAAAAGATTCATTAAAAGAACTTCTTTTATATATGGGTTTGTAGTTGTTATTTAGATATTCTAGAGACTAGCCAGATCCCTATACTACAAATACTTTCTCCTACTTTGTAGTTTGCCTTTTTACTTTCTTTTATATACATATAATTTTTCCCCCTCCAAAAGACAGGGTCTTGCTCTGTTGCCCAGGCTGGAGTGTAGTGGTGCAATCATAGCTCACTGCAGCCTTGAACTCCTAAGCTCAAGCAATCCTCCTTCCTCAGACTCTGGAGTAGTTGGAACAATAGGCACATGGCATTATGCGCAGTCAACTTTAAAAAAAAAAAAAATTGTAGAGATGAGGTCTTACTATGTTGTTGCCCAGGCTGATCTTTAACTCCTGGTCTAAAGCAATCCTCCTGCCTCAGCCTCCCTCCCAAGTAGCTAAGAATACAGGTGTGCACCACCACATCTAGCTTTACTTTCTTAATGGCGTCTTTTAATGAACAGATAATTCCTAAGTTTGATGTAGTCAAATCATCATTTTTTCCTTTATAGTCAGCATTTATATCCAGTTCAAGTAAAGAATATCATGAAAACATTCTTCTTTGTTTTCTTTTAGAAACTTTCATAAAGTAGCATTTAAAATGTGAATTTTCCTATAATCCTAGCACTTCAGGAGGCTGTGCCACCGCACTCTAGCCTGGGCAACAGAGCGAGACCTTGTCTCAAAATAAAAAATTAAAAAAAAAAAATACCCTACCAAAAAAAAAAAAGGACAATGATGTTTTCTTCCACCTAATAGGTCAAACAACTCAATCTATGAATTAAGCAAGATTACATTAAATTAAACTCATCAAGCTTTTATCAAGTGCCTCGTATGCACCCAGGGCTGTGTTAGGTGCTACAAGAGATGAAAATGGTAAGAGATGTTTCCTAACCTAAGTGAATACTAACCTTAGCTAATAATTGCATGACACTCAAATATCAATTGTGTTGAGTGTTTAAATAAAACTGAGAATTTTGACATTGGAGCCCAAAAATAATAAATAACCCTCCACCATCCTCAGCTATCCAAGCTGATTTCAACAAAGAACAGGAGGACAAAGGCATTTCCTTATTAGTGCTACTGTTTCCAGTACACACATCTAAAATCCGTACCATTTACCACTTTTCTTAAGAGTACAAGAAAGAACTTAAAAATGTAAGTTATAAGTCCAGCATCTTCCAGTCCAACTACTTAAAAGAAACAGCAGAATCCAGAAATAATACAATTTTTCCCAGAATAAAAAAAATCTAGGTCATTCTAGCTAGAGAACAGTGGGGCAGGAAAGGAAAAACATGTATATGTATACACATATGCTTTCACACACCCACACAACCCGAAACTTTTTCTTAAGTGTTTTCCAATTTTCTTGTCCACAATTTCTTATCCCTTTCTTCCTGATCTTAGAGAAAAAGGTTACCAAAAAAAAAGCCAAAAGCCAAACTTAAAAAAGAGTCCCAGTGGGTTAGAGATCAAATATATCTATGGCCTCTTTTTATGAAAGATAAATTTAGGGAAGGTCAATCCAGGATGAAAAGTTGAAAGGGTTAGTTAAGGGAAGGGATAGTCATTCAACCAATTTAGATGAGCAACAAGTTTTTAAAGTAAACAGAGTCATCGAGTTTGCTTTATTCTCCTATTCTATCATAAGCCTCAAAATAGAATTATGCGCCTCTCTTAAACACACAGAACGGGAGGGAAAAGAAGCAGTCTGATAATTTTACAGGTCAAGGTAAACCAGATGCTTCACAGACTGGGCTTCCAGGTCTTAAGCACATTTTCTGAAATAAAGCAAGACTCTGTCAGTAAGCTTAAGAGAAGATCTTGAGCTAAGGTAGTAAACAAGAAGAAAAGAAGCTTATGGAATTAAAACTCTTTTATCAGGAAAATGTTCAAAGTCACTCCTCTGATGCAAAACAACAGACAAAGGTTTGACCTGAGGATTAAATTCTTCAACAGGAACCATAATTTCCCATGGCATTCATTCATTCAACAAACTTTCATAAAATGTACACCTACTATGGTCCCATAGTGCTAGGCACCATGAATACAGGTGTGGAAAACAGACATAGTCCTTCCTCTCATGAAGCTCAGTCGAATTGGAGAAAAAGACATTATAACAAGTAAATAAATAAAGACATTGTAGGGAGTCTTCACAGTGATCCCAACTGAAGATATCTTGTTGCTTCACCCCATCAATTCCTACGATTTTCCTCCAAGGTCTACTACTGTCTCCACCGGCAATCTATCCCTACATTCTGAACACTGTCTCTGCTCAAGCAAATCAACAAGATTTCAAGGTACGGCCTGAATTCAGTACTGCAAATGGGTGCCTCTTGCACACAGCACTTAAGAGTACTTGACAAGTGCACATCCCAAAGACAGCAGAGAGCAGTAAAGTGAAGTGGGGTCTCAAGAGCCCCTCATACACTCTCCTTGCACACTGCCCTAGAAGATAAAAAGAGGTACCTGCCTGCCTCTAGATCAGAACTTCTGCCTTTCTGCCATTTCAAAAGTAGCTTTTGTACAACTGCATAAGAATCTACAATTACCCCCAATAAAAATTTCCATTAATTAAAAAAAAAAGCAGCTTTTATGGCCGGGCACAGTGGCTCACGCCTGTAATCCCAGCACTTTGGGAGGCCAAGGCAGGTGGATCACTTGAGGTCAGGAGTTTGAGACCAGCCTGGCAACATGGTAAAACCCTGTCTCTACTAAAAACACAAAAATTCGTCAGGCATGGTGACTTGCGCCTCTGTAGTCTCAACTACTTGGGAGGCTGAGGCACAAGAATCACTTGAACTCAGGAGGTCGAGGTTGCAGTGAGCCGAGATCGCACCACTGCACTCCAGCCTGGGCAACAGAGGGAAACTTTGTCTCAAAAAAATAAAAGCAGCTTTTAGAGCCTTGAGGTCTCTCCATAAACATGACAAAATGGTTTGCCTCCTTCCTCTCTCCAGCATCGGCTCTTTATATATCAGAGGCAGGAAGTTAGTATGCTTAAAATGGGACAAGGATGACAATAAAAATAAGTTTAAAGTGATTTTTTAAAAATCTTTTTAACTACCACATTACCCTTAGAAAGGAGTTTCTTTCTGAGAAGGGTTTGGAATTTATATATAACTCAGAATGTGGAAGAATATGTATCACCTTTAGGCCCAGAACACAATGGGTTGAGGCTGTCTCTGAAACAAAGCTAGCTGTGTGACACTGTGCATGTGCAGTTTTCTCACCCGCAAATGGACTTGAGGCCATTTATCCTAGAGTTCTGATAAATTGTAGGAGATAACATGAGTCTGGTACCTGGCAAATAAGAGCCACTCGAAAAACAAACAACATCTTAGCTACCTTCTCTTCTTTACACCTAGTCAAATGGGGGATTTTAAAAAATCACAGTGAGAAAGATCCTACTGGTGAATTGAGAACATAATTCTCCGTCGGTTGCAATGCTATATTGCTAAGACTCACTCAAGAAGGGTGACCATGTAACTTGTCTTATGCTATCCCAATTCCAAATACCCTGACACATTATTCCTATAGCATCAAAAATATCCCAAAAAAATCAAATATTTCAGCATCCAAACTCTATCTCCCAGACATCCTCGCTACCTAGAAACAGCACTAAAATTTTTCATCAGAGGATATATTGTACATTTAGCTCAAGAAAAAATGTGGCTGGGCATAGTGACTTATGCCTGAAATCTCAGCACTTTGGGAGGCTGAGGCAGGAGGACTGCTCAAGGTCAGGAGCTCAAGACCAGCCTGGGCAATACAGTGAGACCCATCTCAAAAAAAAAAAAAACACACACACTCTTCAATTAACCAGGCATGCTGGCATGTACCTGTAGTCCCAGCTACTTTGGAGACTGAGGTAGGAGGATTGCTTGAGCCCAGGAGCTCGGGACTGCAGTGAGCCATGATTGCACCACTGTACTCCAGCCTGGGCAACACAACAGAGTGAGACCCTATCTAAAAAAACAAGAAGAAGAAATGTGATCATGGTGCTTACGAGAGGACAAAAGGGACACAAAGTATGAAGAGGTCAAAACAAAGCAATGCTGCTAAGGCCTTTATGCCAACACAGTATATTTTTACATAGTCTATCCTAATAAGCTCACATTTACGCAACAACATCAGTACAACAGCTGAGTGGATTAGAATAAAATTGCAAAGACCTAAATGGACCCCTGGGATGGCAGAGTTTCTGTAATCATCAGCTAGACCCAAAAAACTAACAGTCAATACCAGGCATACCCTCAGTCTAACCAGGCAACCAAAATAGAAGCAAAATAGAAAATCAAGTATATATATAAAATATATCCCTGGTGGAATCAGGAGGGCACAAAAGAACAATTCATAGTGCCTGCAGCTGAGTGTCACCAAAAAAATCCTCTTTTAAGCTGTGCAGAGTGCCTGATATACTGCAGTAGGTGGGAAAACGGCCAAATTCAAGCCCACGTCAGAGCACACCAGGTATGCTCCCCTGGCAACAATACTACATGGGATGTGGGTGCAAAACACCTTCCTACTTCCTTTAAGTTTAAAGTCACTGTCACACTCACCCTTTGGCACACAGCTACACAGGGCCAGTGATACTCAGTTTACAATGTAAATAAACCATCCCCATGCAATGTTATATTTTGAACCATTCAGACAAGTGTGCAGGATTCAAAAAAATGAAAAATAAAGAGTGGCTTGTTTTTCCAAGTCTCATTCACATTCTCATGTTCCCAATCCCCATTTCTAGCAAATGCCTCCCAGGTCCAGAAAAAAATTCCTTTCCTAAATATTCACCATCTGCGTTTAATTTGGCCATTCCTTCCTCCCTCTCTTCTCTGCTCCCAACCCACAAGAAACATATACATATGTTTATGTTTATATATACATATCTCCCCTCCTTTTAACATTCCCTGAAAACAAATATAGAAAAGATTAGAAAGGAAAAGAGACTAGGAGAGGGAGGTAAACAGGGCAGGCAAAGGGAGCAGTTCACAGAATGAGGCACAAAGACAACATGAGACGGTTGCTCTTGAGCTCCAGCAGTAAGGGCTGTTTCTGATTAGGTGCATACAATTGCAGAGCTGCACAGGAAGTGCTGAGGGGGCCTTCTTGGTCAGCCCCATCCCAAACACACTGAAAACCTTTGTACTGTAGCAGGCCCATCTGGAATCAGTTAGGACCAAGCTCCTAGCAGCCTTTCCTTTTTTCTTTTTCTCCCTAAAAAAAAAAAAAAAAAAAAAAAAAACACTCTCTAAAACCACTTAGCTCAGTTTTCCTGCCTGCAACCTTCTCATCCCTTCCTTCCAGATCATCCCTTCCTTCCAAATCACCCTTCGGAACATATTTCTCCCACTGCCCTTCTGGGGTCACCACTAACAAGATGAGTCATATAAGAACATAAAGCATTCAGAGAGCTAGCATCCTCCCTAGAGCCCAGAAACCCCCCAAACAGTATAGTCTTCATGCAACTAAAATCCCTTTTTAGATCATTTTGGGGTTTTTTAAATGCTATTTTTAGAAATTTGAAGTGGCCTGCTTTTTTTAAGCATTTAAATGAAGCACCTCCTTTAGGGAACTGTTTTCATGTGTTCTATCTTCTAAATCATGCAAAAAGTAGGAAAAAAAGAAACTCTGGCATAGTTCTCCTAGCATTCAAAAGGAAAAATATGTTTCCATTCACAATCCTAAGTCAAACCGCTTATATTCGTTTCTGTAAAATTGATTTTTACTAATGCTTCCTCAAAAAAAAAAAAAATGGGACTTACCCGGTACTGTGGTAAATGTCTAGCACTAAGGAGACCTGGACAATAGTCTTGATGGCCACTAAGTAGCCATATGGCTTGGAATAAATTATTTATCCTTCCTAGGTCTCTATTTTTTCACCAGTAATATGGGGCAAGGCAGATTCTTTCCAGCACCACAACTTCCTCAAATCCCACACACCTAATAAAACATAAGAGTACACACAAAACTGGCCTCCGGTTTCACCTAGGAATCATCACTTTAAAGAAATGTTATTACCTACCAAAGACTGTACAGAAAGGAGTTGTGTGGGGGTGGAGAGAATGGACAGAGGCTCTCAGTTGGCACCCTCTTCTATGAGCCATATTCCCTGTCCTCCTAGTGCTTAGAGACATCACAACCAAGACAGGCCATTAAAATGTCTAAGGAAAGTACAAGCCTAGCCATCTGGGCCCAGCAAACTCACCAAAGAAGTACAGCACCAAGACCTGCAGAATTAAATTCACTACTAAGCTACTGAAATGTAACTTGTCCTTTGTGCTCAGTTTTAAAGCATCTTATTTTAATTGATCTCAATAAATATTTACCAAATCGATCAAGAAGGCCAGAGTCAAATACAAAAAAAGAACAGAAACTGCCCTATCCTCAAGAAGTTTATAATCTACAGGCAACAGAGAGAGATGTTCAAAGACAATGTTAGTCCAATACTTGATAATGATGAGGTAATTATAAAGTACTGTGAGAGTCCTCTAACTGATGCTTCCTCCATGAGCCTTCTTTGACAGTCTACACCTTTTTAGAGCTCTTTCTCTTATTTTCTTCCGTTAAACTGTTCTAATAAATCTGAAGATTATATTTCACAATGAAATTTAAAGGCTGGCGCTATAAACTGTCTAAACTTACAGGAGTCAGTAACTGTTTAACAATTAGTTTATATCCATAGAGGGGGGACAGACCAACATAAACCATCTCCCAAGCCACACTGGTGACAACCAGAGCAGGAACACTGAAAACTCCCTCAATAGGAGCGCCACCTTTATACCTATGGCAATTAGGAACCAATTCTTGACCTCAGGCTGGTTTCTGGGATTAAGAACCAGTCCAGCAAGTAAAAGGTTTGAGATTAGATTAGAACTGTCTGTTGTCAGCCCCTCAGACACAACCAGAATGGCAGGAATTGCTGTGAACCACATACAAAGTTTTTGCCAGGAAGTACACACAGTATCTGCTCTTATCTGGAGCCAATGTGATCAATGTTTTCCTCTCAACTAAAAATGGTCTAGTTCTTAAAGGGCCTGTTTTACCATTTCACATCCAGAAGAAGAGAAAATTACTCCTATATGGGCTGAGGCCTTAATCTCATATATTAAGTAACCTGAAGGATGAGTGGGTTCCTTTTCCTTGGCCACGGCATAGGGGACCGACCACCTTGTGGGCAGGCTCCCTAAAAATGTATTCTCTTAGTGTGTTAAACTTCCCCTCTCTACGCTGGCAAGACTTCAAACACATTCGGAGAGAAATTAAGACTACATGAGGTGGGGTTCCCGAAACAGCAGGGTCACATTTCCTCCTGGAACGTGGAAAGCTGAACTGTAGGAGGTGCCTATAAGAGATCTGGCCCACTCCTGAAACATTAATACACTTCAAATTAGGCACAGAGAACTTGGCAGCTCGGCTGACTCCCAAACCAGCTCTAAACAAAACTGGACTGGTCAGGATTCTTCGTGGCAAACAGCAGTAGAAGGAGCCAATCAAAACTCTTGGCCCTGCCAAAGAATTGCCGCCTTTTCCTTAAAGGGAAAACACTTCAAGGGGAGTGTGTCTGTATTTCTAAGGAGAGAAAAGGAGTTTTTAGATTTTCTGAACTCCTACATCCAGTTGCTTTATTTCTGTAAATTCTTTTTCCTACATTCGTTCTCGTCTATTAACACCAGAATTGCCACTGGGTGTAATTAAAAAACAGGCTAGGCCAGGCACAGTGGCTCACGCCTGTTATCCCAGCACTTTGTTTGGGAGGCCGAGGCGGGCAGATCACGAGGTCAGGAGTTGAATACCAGCCTGACCAATGTGGTGAAATCCTGTCTCTACTAAAAATACAAAAATTAGCCAGGTGTGGTGGCACACATCTGTAATCCCAGCTACTCAGGAGGCTGAGGCGGGAGAATCACTTGAACCCAGGAGGCAGAGGTTGTGGTGAGCCGAGATCGCACCACTGCACTCCAACCTGGGTGACAGAGCGAGACTCCGTATCAAAAACAAAAACAACAACAACAACAAAAACAGGCTAGAGCTCTACAGAAAGACGCCACAATCCTAACACTACTTTCAACCAAAGGAGGCAGGGCATCCCCCCTCATCTTATTGCCCTCATCTTACTGCTACCACTTAAGGGCAAAGTCCTCCCAAAGATTCCTCCCCTGCAGCCTCATCTTTTCCCTACTGCCTCTTCCCTTTTCTCTGACCTTCTCTCCCCAGCCATTCAAAACTCAGCAGAAATACTAAAGTAAATTTCATCCTGATCAGTCTCTCGAAAGCACAGAGGCAACGTAGTAGACGGGGCTTCTCAAACTGTGAGGAGCAACCTTTTCTGTTAACTTTCCAATCCATCAGGGAATCATACTTTTGTAAAGTGTAGTAAAATGAATTATTAGAAAAACGAAATTTTAAAAAACAAGAAATATAAAATACAAGCCCCAGTTTTTTATTGTTAGACTTAACACTCATAAAAGTATTCTGTCAAATTGCTATAGAAGTTCTAAGTGCATACAATCAATTTCTGCACCTATCTTGTATGAATTGGTAATAAACAGCAAACTAGTATCAGTCTACAAATGACACTTTAATTAGCACTGGTAAAAGGAAAGGAGAAAAAGCTTTGTTCACCACACAATCCTAGGGATTAACACAGCTCACTTACTAGTCATATGACCTTAAGCATATCATTTAATTTTTCTGAATCCTAATTTCTGCATTGATAAAATAGGAACATAATGTCACCAAAAATATTCTGCAAAGTTAAGGAAAGATTAAGAAAATGTAATGCCAAGAAGCCTAACACAGTGCCTGATTTAGATTAGGAATCCAATGAAATAACTATTACTATCAGGTTTTCTAGGTATTTCCTTTTATCATTCTCTTTCAATTCAAAGGCAATTCTAATCCCAGTAAATCCTAACCTTGGGAGTCAGTATTTTCAAAGCTAATTGTAACAAGCAAAATTCAGATCTATGATCTTTTATTGTCTTTAGTATCTTTTCCCTTTTGATGTCAGGAACAGAAAAAAAAAAAATCAAATTTTCATGTTGTGCCAAAAATGAGTTCCCACTTGATCACTAGTGTTTTCTGTTTGACCCAACATATATTCCAATTTGATTTCTGGTCAAACTATTACCAGCTCAATCACTAATTCTGCTGTCATTCCAGACTTGTTACTGTTATTTTACTTAATACTGAGGAGATACAAGAAGAATATTTATAAATTATGTGAAGGATATAAAGAATAACAAAAACATATGCCATTAGAATTCTAGTTTTTCCTCCACCTCCTGCTCCCACCCCCAAATGTATTTTCCTACATGGGCTGAGCCCCTCCTTCACTACTGTCCTTAAAGATCTGAATTTAAGTCCTAACTCTGCCACTTCATGACGCATATAATCTTCAATAAATCGCATCCCCTCTCTTAAGGCTATCTCCTACCTATCAAATGAAAAGGCTGAACAACATGGTTACTAACGTTGTTTTCAGCTCCCTGTTTGATTTCAGCTAGGTTCAACACTTTTCATGTTAAATCCCCCTGACTCCTTATCTTTCTATTTTACACAATTCTAGTAGCCATTATCCCACCCCTGAATTTGCTATACCAAATCCTCCAACCAAAAACTCTGACCACCACCACCACCACCCCCCCCTCTTAATTCTTCCCTCAGTCCTTCCTTCCTGTTCTCAACAAGTACCTCCAGTCACTGAGGAGAGATAATTACACTTGATCCTCCAAGATCTCCACCTCCCTCAACATCTAGATCCATCCTTTCACAAATATTTCCCTTGTGTATTCACAGCACAAGGGCTAAAAAGGAAAGCCCCCAAGAATTCAATCCAACATTTTTATATATGAAACAAGCCACATTTATAATATAAAAGTAATAACAGAATGAATGAAAATATTTACAAATGTGTATCGGAAAAAGGATTTGCTACATATATAAAGAATTTCAAAATGAACTCAGTAAGAAAACGAACCACCCGGCCAGGAACAGTGGCTCACATCTATAATCCCAGCACTTTGGGAGGCCAAGGCGGGTGGAACACCTGAGGTCAGGAGTTCAAGGCCAGCCTGGCCAACATGGCGAAACCTCGCCTCTACTAAAAATACAAAAAATTAGCTGGCCACAGTGGCGTGTGCCTGTAATCCCAGCTACTTGGGAGGCTGAGGCAGGAGAATCTCTTGAACCCAGGAGGCGGAGGTTGCAGGGAGCCAAGATCGCGTCACTGCACTCCAGCCTGGGCGACAGACCGAGACTCCGTCTCAAAAAAAAAAAAAAAAGAAAAAGAAAAGCAAATGAACCACTCATTTTAAAAAAATGTGCAAAACATTTAAACAGACCCATCATCAAAGAGATATGACTGACAAATATGCAAATGAAAGATGCTAAACATCATTAATATTTAGGAAAATACAAATTGAAGCCACGAAGAGATATCCATTATATACCTATCAGAAGGACTCTCATTTTTTAAAAAAACAACGGACAATACCAAATAGTGGAAAGAATGTAGATATATTCATTGCTGACAGGAATCCAAAGTGGTACAGCCACTTTGGGAAACAGTTTGGCAGTTTCTCATACACTTAAACACTTCATATACACTTATATGACCCTGCAGCATTCCCAACCTTAGGTATTTACCCAAGAGAAATGAAGCTACTCAACAGCAAAAAAGGAATGCATTACTAATACCTAAAACAGTACAGACGAATCTCAAAAGAATTACACTAAGTGAAAGAAGCCATACTCAAAAAGCTACATAATACATGATTCCATTTATATAACATTTTAGAAATGGCAAAATCATAGGAACAGAAATCTGATCAGTGATGCCAGTGGCTGCGGATGCGAAGAGAGAACTAACTGTGAAAGAGCCTGAAGAAACTTTCTACGGTAATGGACGCATTTTATATCTTGATTGTGGTAGTGGTTACATGTCTATATTACATTTGTCAAAATTCATAGAAATGTAGCCTTAAAAGAATGAATTTTACTGCATGTAAATTATACCTGAATGAACTATATATATATATATATATATATATATATATATATATATACATGCACACACACACATATACATATGTGTATACGTATAAAATCCCCCTCAAAAAAAAAAAAAGCCCTGTCCCCCTTCCGTCACAGAGGAGTTAGCACAGCAGCCAAGGACACAGGTAGGTGAGCAGCTGAGGAATCAAGGATGCACAGGACAGCAGGCCCAGAGGCCAAAGATAAGAGTGGTTGGGGGTCAGGGGGCACTGGAAGACTACAGGTAAAGCTGGGAAACTCTAGGGAGATTAGGAAGCCACAAGGAAGAATGGGCCAAAGGAGCCCATTGACTGAGGATTCCAGAACATGAGGAGTAGGGTACAGAGGTGGTGGAGTCAGCCATCGCGGTTGGAAAACTGGCTACACTGAGCAAATAAGTAAACATATTGGGGATAAGGGGAGCCAAGTTTTTCCCTACTGGAGAATATATTTACAAATATGGAAAGAGGTTGGCTGCATTTAATGGAGTTATCAGTGTGAATTCATGATTTTATAATATAAAATGCATTGTTTTATAATTTAAAATATGTAACACACACACAAACATCATGCATGTATATATACGTATATAGCACAAAGAGATATGGAAATATAGATGTATATGTGGTATATATGTGTTTATGTACATATGTATGTACACATACACACAATTTCTAGCTGTTTGCTGAGACAGCCTAGAGGCAAGGACACTCTAGTAGCAATATGCATACCCACCACCCAGATGTTGGTTTCTAATTACTATCCTCCATTTAAAAGAACCAGAGCTTCTTGGAAATGGCTGATTCCAAGGCTTTGGTAGGAAAAGTACAAAATAAACTTGGAAAACCTTCTTGTGGCAGAAAATAAGGAAATGTCCCATGAATGATGGGGACAGGTCAAAAGGACAAAGAAACCAGCATAAAGCAGGTCCCACTGGCTAAACTTTCAAGCTCCCTCAAGCTTGAGGAGTATAATTATAGAAATGGACTACAGCCCACTGAATAAAATAGTAATCCATGAGTCCATTTGATAGAAATAAACAAATGAAAAAGGGAAAGTCTTTGTAACAGAATGACATCTAACAAATACAGGCAGACACAGAAATAGAGGACTAGCATTTGACAGAATAAAACTGGTTGGTTCAGGAAAGAGTAGTCAATAGCGCTAAGGAGGTTAGGTATATATCTGTTGAGGAACAGGATAGTAGTATAATTTCAGAATACCTTTCCACAAGACAATAATCAATTACAAAAGGAAAAATGATGAATCTGATGTGGAGAAACCTGGCAGACATCAGCTTAACCAGCTGTTCAAGGTTAACAATATTACTGACAGTGGGATGCGGGGGACAGCATTTGCCTCCAGATATGATGCAATGAGAAGAGCATAGCATCATTGCAGTGGTATTCCTGCCGAAAATGATATTACTGCTGTCATGAAGAAACAGATGGACCCAGATCTAGACTCTTCAAAATGTCAAGGACATGAAAGAAAGGTAAAGACTGAGAAACTGTTCCAGGCTGAAGAGGTCTGAGGCGACATGCAACTAAATGCAACGCATATTCCTAGACAAGATACCGGACCAAAAAGGAAAAAGACATTGCTGGGACAGCTGGCAAAATGTTAACGAAGTCTGTGGATGGATGGTCGCGTTGTACTAATATTGATTTCCTGATTTGGAGATCTCTGCCAGTTATATAGGAAAGTCCTATTTCGGGGAATACACATTGAAGTGTTTGGGAGTGAAGGAATATCACATCTGCAGCTTGCTCTCAAAAAAAGCTCAGAAAAGGCACAATGAAAAAGGGTATGTATGTACACAAACCCCACACACAAACACACAGAGTGAGCAATGAAGCAGATGCAGTGAAATATTAACAACTGGGGAATCCGAGTGAAGAAAATCCAGGAGTTTGGGGTGTTTTGTGGGTTGTTAGCTGCTCTGGTAACTTTTCTGTAATGTGAAATTATTTCAAAATAAAGAATCAATGGAGAAAAAATAATAGCCACTAACAGGAATTTAAGAGTACAATGTCTTTGATTCTCACAACGAAAGCTGATCCTAAAGCTCAGAAAGGTTAAAACGTGGTTCAACAAGTGTCAGTGCCATACTAACTCAGTCTGTCAAACTCTGGAGCCTTTAATCTACTACACCATGCTACCTCATTCGACAAATAGGTAACCATCACGTAACGAAGTATGTGCCAATATCTTTACTTATCATTGAGGATGGAAAATCAATCAGACCATCCCTGCCCTCAAGGAATTCAGGCTAACAGAGATAGCCTTTACTTATAAACTAGTAAAGGGTTACTGGCGCTATGGTTTGCCTTTACTTGTACAGGGAATGTTGGGCCTTTACTCCACCACAAATTCATTATGACCTATTAAAAGATAACATTTGAGATGTATAAAAAAAATAGACCAAAGGCCACAACGGAATATACTTAGGTCATGTAGGTAAAAGATCCTATGTGATCAACACACACACATCTCTCCAAGGCTTGAACACCCATAAATAGGAAAAAGAATGGGGGGAATCTATATGAGTATATTTGGGGATCTCCAACTATTCCTTCCCTTAGGTTTTCATCCTCAGAGATGTTCCATGTTTTGTTTAAAGAGATCATTTTCTAAGAAGTAGTGGTTGTGGTGAGATTAGAACTATTTGGCCCAATTACTAAACTGGATAATTGCCAAAAGTTCTACCCTGGTTTTCTAATGGTTTTCTACTCAAAGCAAAGGAGTAACTCTTGTGTATGAAAGAGAACAGAAGTTAAATATCTACCAAAGCACAAAGCATCAGGTTTACTTTCAAAGCCAAATTTATCCCCAAAGTAACCAGGCTTTACCATCAATTAGGTGAAAATTAAGCGGTTTTCTTCTGGTTATAAATCAATTGGGGCGGGGGTGGGGGGTGCTATGTCTCTTGGTATTGCCCTGAGTTTTGCAAGCAGCTTGCATACAGACCATACACCATTTACAAGACAAAAAAGAGGAAGACCCAATAGTAAATATGACAATCTCTGCCCTCAGAGAACTTACAGTTTAGCAGGTGGGACAGACAAATTAAAAGAAAGGACATCTTCCAGACTGGAATGGGATCGGGCTCAGGAAAGGCTTCCTTGAAAACAAAATACCATTTGGCTGAGATCTAAGGAGCAACCTGACTTTGCACGCTTATGTATTTATGTTATGTGTTTTACTTTATGGAGAATTTTCTGAGTAGAGAGGTAAAAAGAGATACAAGAAAAATGGTAAAAAAGCACAGAGGAGAAAAAGATAGCAAGTGATTCCATTCTGTTGGGACATAAATACTAAGAAAGAAGCCTTTGAAAGGCTTTTAGTAGTGGAATAATAAATTTTTAATCACCAAAACAACGTTATGGTAGTAATTATTATCTTCATTTTACTAATGAAAAAACTGAGGCTTGAGAAAAGTTAGGTAGATTGAGCAAGGTCCCACAACAAAAAATATGCAGAGCAACTGTAAAGCCCATCCTCTTTCTGTTCTATTTCCCTCAGAGTTATACACAGAATGTAGCCAGTTCCTTGGATTTCACAGACAAATCACCTTTTCCCTAGATACTCAGCCCTTGGTATTTAATGCTTTCAAAAATCCAAACATTCAGCCAGGCGTGGTGGCTCACACCAGTAATCCCAGCACTTTGGGAGGAAAGGTGGGCAGATCACTTGAGGCCAGGAGTTCGAGACCAGCCTGGCCAACATGGTAAATCCTTATCTCTACTAAAAATACAAAAATTAGCCAGGTGTGGTGGTGCCCGCCTGTGGTCACAGCTACTCAGGAGGCTGAGGCATAAGAATCCCTTGAACCTAGGAGTCTGAGATTGCAGTAAGCCAAGATCATGCCACTGCACTTCAGCCTGGGTGACAGAGCAAGACTCCATTTCAAAAAAAAAAAAAAAATTAGAATTAAAAATTTAAAAATATAAGCATTCACCAAAGTTAATTTTAGCTTCATTTGGAGGTCAATCCCTTAGGAAAATTGAATATAACCATTTTTATGGTTTTACTGGTTTTCACCAATGTGAATTTGCACACACAAAATTAGTCATTTTCCCCTTATGTTTGAGGCCCCAAAAGATCAAGGCAGCAGTAAGAAGACAGCCCACACAGAATTCACTGTATACCCTGTAACGCACAACACATCAGCATCTATTTTATCCAGCAGCAGGAAGACTTATAAGTCAGGACCCCACAATTATCCCTGTAGAGAGGCACACCAAAGGGAATGTAGGCATAACAGCTACAATAATGGTAACACAAATAGCCATCTGTACTTACAGCCAATCATGCCAAGGGCTTTTAAACACCCACATCCCTACTGCCTCCCTCTCTCTCCATGCAGGTGGGCAAATTCCTTTCCATTCTTCTCCAACCCACATAATTCCAGGGGAATAGATAATCTGATGCTAGGAGCAAGAAGCAAAGAAAGCTGCTATACTTTTGAACACAAAAGACCGAAAAGGAAGAGTCCTAATTCCCCCACCCTGTGTTCTACCCATTAAACCAGTATTTCTCTATTCTTTCTACTGTTTAA